>NC_000014.9:60217773-60520803 GCF_000001405.40 Homo sapiens | reverse complement strand
AATGTAGGCTACTCTCTCATGAAGTTGGGTGGTGAAGAGAAGGAATTGCTTCTTGAGGGGAAAGCTTGAGGGGCCTGAAAAGGTTTTTACTTTATTTTACTTTTAATATTGGTGATATCTGACTCCCGAAGCAGTCATCTACTTCAATGGAATGATTTGAAGGGTACTTGGCTCTTTTCCAACCAAAAATAATTTTCTACTAGCCTGCTAGTGGTGTTTGAATTGCTACCATTAGTGATTTGAGGTTACTTAATTAAAGGATTATCTCCTAACAGATAGTAAGTACTCTCCCAGGCCCCCATCTGTAGGTAATTCATCAAGCTTTTAGCAGCTCTACTTCTATGTTGATGTGAATTGGTTTATCTGATTTTTGTGACAACCGAGAATAGATTTTGATAAATGGAGGGTGAAGAACATCGAAGGGCTTCTGACAGTTTGGGATGGGGCACCTGTAAGTAGGCAAGGTGAAGGACCTCCAAAAGGAAACGGAAAGGTAACCAGGTTCAAAGGGGTAAACTGCGTACCTCACAGTTCTACTCAGGGCCAGCTCTCCAGTTGCAATCTTAAACTCTCTCTCCCTCCGTCTATGAGTTATCTTTTTTTAAAACAGCGTTTCAGTAGAAACTTATCAAAACTTTCTGAGAAAATAAATTATGTCTCAGGTAATAGAAAAGTGTAATGGACTTGGAGTCAGAAAACCTGTTCTCATCACTCACTGGGCCTGTGCACAGGCAGCATTACCTTGGAGCAAATGACACTTAGGCTTCAAGATTCCTCACTTGCACAGGTCTCTTCCAAGGTCCTGGAAGTGGTTCTAGCAATATGTTCACATAATCATTGCATTTTTTGAAAATTTATAAAATAAGGCAATTTAACAACAATAGATCATTGTTTCTTTCCATTCCTATTTTCCCTCTGTCCATTTCCCTTCATGCTGGGTTTCAATGGAGTAACCATAGTCATTTTTGGGATCTGGTAGTTAAAGGGAACTTGAGTTGGGTATACAGTTTATTTGAGTTCAGTGTTATATTTTTATGATTTGCTGTTACTTCTTTGTAAGTGTAAGACCCTGATCACAAACTAGTTAATGAATGTTGTCAATGTAAAGATTATTTAATGGGTTATTGCTCAAGGAAACGTGTAGTGTCCTGAAATTTAACTGCCTATATATGGAAGAAATTTCACTGAGGCTTTCCCATAGTTGATGCCAATCCTAAAAATAATATATGGCATTACCAATAATGAGCTATGAAACTGCGAGAAACTTTTCTAAGTTATCAATAATAAAAATATTTAAACCAACCCACAGTAAAGACTGAATTATCTTTCTATTTGAGGTTGTATAATAAAATTATTGTCACACAAAGGAGCAATCAAAGAACATACAGAAAAACAGTAGGGAAAAAACAATTCTAGAGGTATGTAAGACAGTTAATGAAATGATTTTATTACTTGCCTGGATTTTGTGGTTTGTTGTATTTGCCAGGTTAAAAAAATTGTAATTGATGTTATTTTTTGTACCCAATTTTGTACTCATAATTTTATATCTTTAATCTTAAAGAGTGCCCCACCCCTCCAAATAGTGTAAGCTTCAAACCCTACAAAATCTGGATTCTTTCCTGGTCCTGTGACTTTGAGCAAGTAATGAGCCCCAGTTCCCTCATCCGGAAGATGGGAATCCCACTATCTGCTGATTTACCTCACAGGGTTCTTGTGAGGAAGTGAAATAGTGCAAGTGAAATATTTTATTATTAGCTATAAAAAGAGCCATGCGAGTGTAATTGAAGTGAGATCACTACTTTCTCCTCAAAGAAATGAACCTTGCATTTTCCCCAAAAGGTTATGTTACATTTTCAGTGATCATACTTTATATGTGGGGTTATCCTGACTTGCATGATGGGCCAGGATCCCTTTGGAGAGCTTCACATAGTTGACAAGCAGCCTTAAGCAGAGTAAAGAAGCAAGGAAAGGATGATGGTATGTGAGCACAAGCTCCTCCATTGCCATTGCTGGAAAACCAACATATTGGGTCCTACCTACTGGGGGTGGTGAGTGGAAGCTGCTTCTAGTACTAAGGAAAGCATTTAGCATTTAAATTCAATATTACAAATATGTACATTACATCTATTAAAAACAACTTTTAAGCTTATTTCTTTGCCTTAGCATTTAACCAGGCAAAATGGGGAAAGGGAAGTTCCATTCACTGAACCCCTATTATATGTGAGGGTCTGTGCTAGGTGCTTTACATGCATTAACCAAATAACACTCACAATATTCCTGGATATTATCAACCCATTTTGCAGAAGTAAAAACTAAGGCTCAGAGAGTTGAGTGACTTCTGAAATTCACAGCGATTAGGTATTTCAAGCCAGGTTTGTCTGATCCCACCTTCTCAGGTGCCAGCCCATTGTCCACAGACTGTTTCCAGTATAGTTTTCTTTTTCCCACTTGCTTTCTATTTTAAATGGACAAATCCAGTTCATACAGTTACAAGTATCTGCAAAAATAATTTCTTTAGATAAGATATACATGCGTAGGTCTTCAGTTCAAATACGTAATTTACCAGGAATTTATAGAAAGTCAGGAGTATACCCAATGCCATGGAAAATGCTTTAAGTGGTGATTAATTTAAATGGGCAAATCTTTTATAGGAATCTTAAATATCTGAAAATGTTCGAAATGCATAATAATTTTTTGCCCACCAGACTCTTCATGTGCCAAATTAATGTGCCCTCTCAAGTGTTCGATTTCGTGCTAGAAAATTTAAGACTAATCTCTTCAGTGAGAAAAACAAACAGTAACTCAGTATTCTCAGGTTGCAGATTGGCAGTGCCAGGCTAGAATGAATTTCCAAGAGGAAGCCTTATACGTATTTTATCAGAATTCGAAATTATACACAGTTCACTTGCTTCTGCCCATTAAATTTTAAAATAGAGATGAGTTTGCTATCCAGTATTTTCACACAGCCCTTGCGATTTAAGATTTTAATGGCCGGGTGCGGGTGGCTCACGCCTGTAATCCCAGCACTTTGGGAGGCCGATGCGGGCTGATCACGATGTCAGGAGATCCAGACTATCCTGGCTAATACGGTGAAACCCCGTCTCTACTAAAAATACACAAAATTAGTCGGGCGGGGTGGCGGGCGCCTGTAGTCCCAGCTACTCGGGAGGCTGAGGCAGGAGAATGGCGTGAACCTGGGAGGCAGAGCTTGCAGTGAGTCCAGATCCCGCCACTGCACTCCAGCCTGGGCGACAGAGCGAGACTCCGTCTCAAAAAAAAAAAATATTTTAATGAAAACTGTTTATCCCCCCTAGGTGAGCCTAAGCATGGTGGTGGGATGCCAATCTATTATCTTAGAATTGGAGACCTTGTCTGGGTTTGTGATTTTTTTGTTTTTGTGGTTTACTTTATCATGTGTAGGTCAGGACTGGAGTGAGGTGGGGAAGCCAGAGGAGAGAAAAGGTGGGAGGGAGGAGAAAGGAAAGGGTTATTGTCTTAGTCCATTCCTGCTGCTATAAAGGAAATACTTTGGACTGGGTAATTTATACATTTCTCACAGTTCTGGAGGCCGGGAAGTGCAAGATCAAAGCCTGGTTAGGTTCTGTGTCTGGTAAAGGCTGGTTCTCTCTGCTTCTAAGATGGTGTCTTTTTCCTGCACCTTCACGTGGCAGAAGGACAGAAGGGCAAAAAGGAAATAATAGACTTCCTCAAGCCCTTTTATAAAAGCACTAATTCCATTCATGGGGCAGTGAATCACCTCCTAAAGGTCCCACTTCTTAATACTACTGCATTGGGGATTAAGTTTCAACATGAATTTTGGAGGGATATGAACATTAAACCATAGCAGTTATCTTTGAAGCAGAATAGAAATTCTTATGTTGTAGGGTTCAGAGAGTATAATACCTAGAATTTTCAAAATCCAAGAGGATTACTCTTACCTTTTTGGGAAAATGTGTTGTGTGAGAAGATAATTTTCATGGTATGAACCCAAAGTCATAGCACTCTAAAAAAACCGCATGCCTAGAGGGAGACAGCACTCTATGGAATCATCCCAGAGAACCCGACAAGTAGGTAACAGCCAGTAACTTACTGAGCTGGGAGGATTACAGTGAACTTTGGGTCCAGCCAATATAAGTCATCTCTTCTCTTCAAATGATTCCCGAGCTAGCAGAGGTCCCCCACTAACGTAAGAGCAGACAGATTTCAAGGAAGATGCATGAATTCATTCAGCTTTAAAACATTTATTGAGCACCTACTACTTGGGCTAGGTGCTGGGAATACAAAGATGGGTAAGAGTTGGTCCTTGCCTTTAAATAAAGAGCTTACATTCTAGCAAAGGCTGAAGGGGGAAGTCAGACAGACAAATAAATGAGCAAAAGTGTTAGAGCGCTAAAACAGACGTTTAGATAAGGTGCGGTGGGAGCATTAAAAAAGGTGGTGGCACATTATCTGTGTGGAGCTCACTGGCTCACGGAAAACTTAGTGGAGGTGGGGTAGGCTTTGTGGAATGACAGGGTAGCAGTTGAGGTAGGGGGCGGCGTTCCAGGCAGAGCAAACCACAGGGCAAGCGGAAACAGCATGAGCGGGCAGGGAGGCGTGAAACTGCTTGTTCAGCTCTGGGATCGCCCTCACACCCCTTTGTCTCCAGACAAGGAGGTGAAAACGGGAAGAAAACCAGTTCGTTCCCTCGCGGTAGGGCACGTCTGAAGAAGTTTGGGAATATAAATCCTAGCAAAGAGAGCTGCAAGGAAGGATCTAGCCAGAGGAGATTTGTAAGAGCTTACAATGGGAAATAAAGTTTCCCATTGTAAACCTTGCTTGGAAACCCCGCAAGGTTTCCGAAAGAAGGCGGCCCAGGTGGCCTGCCAGGGCTCAAATGTGCTATCGCGAACATGCGGTCCTTGAAGGACCCCGCTCCCTCTCCCCGCCTCGAAGGCTAACCCCGGCGGACCTGTCGGGCGCGGAAAGCCCCCTTTAGGTCCCGCTCCCTGGTCTCGGACCTCTCCCCTCTTCCCGCCCCTCTCGGCGACTCGCTCGGCGCGGCCTAGGACCGGTGGCGACAACTGCTGTTGCACCGGCAGGCCCAGGCCAGACACGCGTAGGCCCAGGCCCGACGCGGGCGGCAGCCTCTCGCGCAGGCCCAGACCGCGGCGCGCGCCGCATCCACGGGCTCGAGGCTCTGCAACCGCTGCGACTTCAGGCGCCCGAGGGTGGGCGGGCGCGCGCCTCCGCAGCTGCAGGGGCGCGCGCTTGTGGGCTCATTCTCCCACCTAGGTTTAAATTGAACCCCGTCTCGGTCCCCCGGTTTTGAGAGGTTTCTCTCCTCGAGCCGCTGAGTCACGCAGCCCAACAGTAGGAGTGGCTCGAGGCCTACACGTCCGCGAGTTCGCGGGGCGCTGGATGGAAAAGGTGGGTGCGCGAAAAGGGGGGCTCTCCTTCCTCGGGGACCCAGATCTGTGGCCTCCGTGGGGAGATCTGGGCCCCCGAGTAAGGACTCACCTTCCCGGGTACTGTGGGCCCAGTCTGGGCTTCTCTTTGGGAGCGGACCGTGGCTTGGGGCGCCTCCCCGAGGGGACCCACGCGCCCGCCGCTCCAGCCGCCATTTCCCAGCAGGCCTCCAGGGGGCCTCCCCGCCGCTGCCTTCCCGTCGGCGGCGCCGGGCACGGGGGTAGCCGCGCGGCGCAGGCAGGGACACGCCTCGGCGCCCGGGCCAGCGCGCGGACAATGACCCCTTCTCCCCTCGCCGCCGCCTCCTCCCCGACACCGCCCCCTCGCAGCTCACAGGCAAACCTATTAGCCATTCAGGCCGACAAAACCCCGCGGCCCCGCGCATTGTCCCGCCGAGCGCCCGGCCGCCGTCATTAGCCCTGATTACGCAGAGCCGCCTGACAGCCCCGCCGGCCGCTCCACAGACCCCCCATTCACGGCCGCCCCCGGGCTCCGCCTCACAAAAGGAGCGGAAATCGTCCGCGCTCTCGCGTCCCCGTTGAATAGAGCGAAAAGCTGCTTCTCCTCTCCTCCCGCCCCATTCACATTCTCTTTGGATACAATATTTTTTTCCTTTTTGTTAAAATTAGGGAGAGGGAACGAGGTCAAGGAAGACTTTGCTTGAGCTCTTTGCCTGTCATTTGTTTAATGTAAACAAAGAGCAAGCCCTCCCCACCCCCATCGTCTTCTCCCCTCCCTCCCAGATTTTTTATAAACAAACTGGCGAAGGGAAAGGAGGGAGTGACGGGTGGAAGTGGAGTGGGTCATTAAAGTGGAGGCGAGAGGAACTGCGGCATTTGGGGAGCAGGGGCCGTCGTTTTTTTTGGTGAAACTGGAGTGTGGTTGAAATGTTTATAAGCCGGAAAAGAGCCTGACCTGGGGCTTGGGGTAAAATCTTCACATTGGTCAGGTCCGTTGAAATATTTAATATAAAAATGCTCTTTCCACTCTGCTGGAGTAGCTGCTTTTTGGGAAATTGTGACAGAAGAATTGCAGGAAAAGAAAGGAAGGAAACCCATTATATAGAGATTTTGCCAAATTCAGAAACCTTCAGCCTTGCCATTACCTGGACTTTTTTTCCCCCCAAAACCCTGAAGACCAGAATGAAGCTGATATGGAAAAAGTCTTAAAAAGAAACCCTTTAAATGTCCTTGGGAAGATTGGAAAGATTAAAATAAAATAAATCTCTGTGAAGATCTGGACTAATTTCCAATATGTGGTCACCAAAGAATTGGTTATTCACAGAGGCAATTAGGTGCCATCACATTACAGATAAACATTTAAAAAAATCTTACAAGTAATGTGTCACCCCCTTAAGATTCTAAAGTGAAATTAAATAAATAAATATCCAGATTGTTGAAACAGAATAGCTACTTTAAAATGTAGGCAGCTTGTTAATTTAAGTAAATGGTAGCTGTAGTTTAAAGGCTTTTGTCAAAGCAGGAATTAAAAATGCTCCATCACTGTTTGGTCTTCTCTTTTTGTCCAAGCAATAAACTGTCACTTAAAAATTATTTTGTAAAGAGAAAGCTTAGTTTCTTAGTTACCCTATTTTCTTGACACTGCGGAATGGACATTTTCTTCTGCTTTTAGGTATCATTTGAAGGGGTGGGTGGAGTGGGATTTTTAGAATCTCAAATTCTTTTACATTATTCCACTAATTAGTTATTTCCCATCCCTCTAGGACTTGGAAGCATAAACTTAAGAGAAAATTTGCCAACAAACTTCTCCAAACACTGGTTCTGGACAGCCCCATAGCTAAGGGTGGGGTGGGGCTGGGGAACAAGAGTGGATATCCGTGGCTACTCCTTGTCAGATTAAGGACTAGGATGAGGCAAAGGAGGCACTTAGAGTGCAAAATTTAAGGAGGCACTCAATCTCATGTGCCTTGCACTTGCTGCACTTGCATAACCTTGACCGTGAGTCCCCTCCTGGCCTCACTCTAGTCCTCGCCAGCCCCTCGTTAGCATTCTAGGAACTACCTGGGGCTCTAGGAAACAAAATTAAGTACTGAGGAAGCTCTACAATGGGAGCCTTTCAGGACCCACAGGAGGGCTTTTGCTTGCTTTTGGAAAGAACACCAGTTTTATCACGAAAACTTACCCACTCCTTCCATGTAAAGCTCTTGTGCAAGAGAGTTTTGATTTTCAAGAATTCTCTGGATAAGGGCCACCATACACAAGGACAACATTTATAAAGCCCAAATGAGCCAAATCTATTCAAGCGATTTAGAAACCAAAAATCAACCCTTACTCTGTCCTGGGCTTCCATTGTCTATCTTGCCGTTTGGCTGCTTTTTGTCTTCCATGACTTCACTTATTTTTGTTTGGTTTGCACTTTGGCACTTCTGCCTAAAGAAGTTAGCAGGCTTCTGATCCAAAGAACATCTTCTAAGGACAGAAAGGCAAATGGAAAAGGCTGTAATTGGGGGATGGGGACAGTAAAGAGGGAAGTCAGCTCAAGTGATTTAAAGATCAATGTCAAATTTTATAATATGCAATCTGTTTCACTAGGAACAAAATTAGAGACTCTGGCTAGCATTTATTTTCTTAGTGCAAAGATGGTAGATGTTTTTGCGTTGTATATGCATGCATTTGTTCATGTATAGGTGCATACATGCATGTGCACGAGGAAAAATTAAATGCTAAAAATATTTTATGTTTTAATCGAGGCCATTACCAGGACAATGAGGCCCTTGATGACTTGTTCTATGCTTAATTCGGAGATTAGGTTTTTAAAATGCCAGTTATTTCTACAGCCTTGTTTTACCCTCAGTATGTGACATGATTACATCCTTTCCCCCATCTCAGTATCCCTCTTGTTAAAAACCATTCATTTGATTAAAACCAAATTCTGCAGCAAGAAGATGTTAGTCTAATTATTTACAACCTCTTCTATCATCTTTTGTCTTATTTTAATAATAGCTCAATCCTAAATGCAGTATATGCTCACTCTAGCATGATCATGGGTGCCTGCTGCTTTTGTATTGGAGGGGGCCTTGAAGGAGACAGAAAGCCTTTCTTGCTGCAGAGCCTGAGTCAGGATAGTTTTGCATTTTTAGAAAATAGGACTCACTTATTGAGTCCCATAGTTTGGCTTCCTAAATTGCTCCTGAAAGCTGTTGACACTTCATGTAAACGAGTGTCAAGTGGACAAGCCATAATTACCTGTGCTGGGGATGCGGGGACTTGCCTTAGAGAGGACGCTCACATGTTGCCAATTTCTAGCCTTAAATATATCACGTGTATGCATACATACATATGTTTGTATAGGTACATACATATGTTTGTATAGGTACATACATATATGCACATACGTGTAATTTGACGTGGGAGGTGGTTATAGACCTACCATAGGTTGTTTAAAACATATACCAGGAAGCACCAAAGAAGGCAAAAGATATATAGGTAAGACCTTCCGGAGACCATTTGCTCAAGGGTCCCTGCATGCCTGGTGAAGGGAATGATATTAATAATAATAAGAAGAAAAGGAATCTGAGAGCAGCTCCCTTAATTAAGAAGGTTGCCCACTAGGTTGTTTTATTGTTTGGCTTCTCCACACAGAACCCATCACCACCAGCCTGCATGTTTAGAAACAGCAAGTTCCCCAAGCTACAGAGAAACCTACCATGGCGGTCTCTTAAATAAGTAAATAAACAGCATATATATGTTTTGTTAAAAAAAAACTTTAAAGCGAAAGTTATACATATGTAACAGCGTCCTTTCGACGTGAAATACCCATGGGAGAATCTGGGCAGGCGCTCAGCTTGCAGTTCGGGTTCCGAAGGAGACTTTGCAGCAAAATCCTTAGGAAAAAGCAAAGCAAGAAGAACGTGGTGCTGGGTCAGGCCTCACCGCTGGTTCCCGTGGTCGCGGCCAAAGGGCGCCAGTGAAGCCAGGCCGGCCGCGGGGTGGGGCGGGAAACGGCAACCCGAGCCCGCGGGTCCCTGGTCACCTGGCTTCTGTGGCGCTGGATTTGCAGGTCTCTCATCTTCTTCCCCTCTTTCATTTTGTTTTTCTCGTTTTTACACTGGAATCTGCTTCTGAGCATCCTGGATGGGCAACTCAGATGTCGCACTCGCTGTCGCTGGACGTGATGGAGATGGCTGAAGTGGCCGCCTTGCTGGATAGACTGGCGGCCGGGCTGGTGGCGACGCCCAGCACCTCTGGCGTGCCGTCGCCCTCCGCCCGTAGTGCCCGCCCGGAACCCTGTGACAGGACCTGCTGCTGGAGTCTACGGGGAAGAAAGGGAACACGGGTCACAGCTCGTAACACAGCCGCCCGTCGCCCGCCCCCACCACCTCCTGCGTCCCTCCAGCCCGGCGGCTAGAGGTTCTTCCGAAGACCCCAGCAGTTAAGGCGAGGATTACTCGGCAAGGCGACAGAGGTCGGGCAGGAGTCCGCGGCCGCCCCTCCGCGGGTCCCTACTGTTGTGCCCCACCATGATTCGCGCCCTTTCTCAGCGCCGCAGCTCCCAGGTCTTTTATATACTGGGCTTGCAGTGTCCTCCCTGTTTGTTGTGCACTTTTGGGAGATTTACAGGACTGTCAGGAAATAAACGAAGTGTGGGTGACAAGGACAGATCGGTCCCAGGGACATGGGATACCATTTCTAACGGTGCGTCTGCCTGGGGCTTACGCCTGAGCAAGTGCTCCCGCGATCGCGTTGGATCGGGTCGGCCCGACCTAAAGGCAAAAAGGATTGTAAGGAGCATTTGGGCCTGGGGGATGAGGCCGGGCTCTTCCGCAAAATGTTTGGCTAATCGAGATCCACACTCCGGGAAACGAAAAGCCTCGGCCCACGGACTAGTTTGCTGTTTTGAGACAAGAGTGGCAGGCAGCGCATGGGAAGAGGAAAACTCGACTTCCCATTTCTCAAAAGTCCATTGAAAACTGTTTTCAAAGCATTAGGGAGGGATATACCTGGGCTTTGAAAATGATAATTAACATGAAACCGACACATTGCTAATAAGCCAGGCTTCGATTAATAGTAGGAGCCTGTGCCCAGGCTGACAAGAATTAGCTTTGGGTCTTGGGGTCCCTAACTGTTTGTAGGATTTTAATTTTTTATTTCTCTTCCCCTCTCCGTCCCAGTGAAGCCTTGGTTTGGTGACCGGGACCAGCTGCTGCAGCTGCCCGCAGGCGTGGGGAGCCAGCGGGTGGGGAAGCAGAGCCGGCAAGGGAACTCCCGGCCAGGAGCCCAGAACGCAGGGCTCTTAACCCAAGACAGACCGCGCTCCCAACTCCTGCTGAATTGGAGTCGCCAGGGACTGGGTAAGGGCGCCAGAGGTGCCTCCACCCGCCTCCTCCCCGGTGCGCTCAAAGCGCGGAGGCCTCTAGGTACCGACCTGTTCTTGGCTGCAGCCGCTCGGTCCCTTTGTCGGCGGTTTTTGAACCAGTTGCCCACCTGCGTAGGGGTCAGTCCGGTTGCCTGGGCGAGCTCACGTTTTTTGCTGGGGTTAGGGTATGGATCCTGCAGGTACCACTCGCGTAGCAGGTGCCGCGTGCGCTCCTTGAAGCAGTGTGTCTTCTGTTCGCCGTCCCAAATGGTGCGCGGCAGCGGGAACTTCTTCCTTACTCGGTACTTGTCCACAGGTCCCAGGGGTCTTCCACGCAGCTTCTCAGCCTCCTGGTAGTGTGCTTCAAGCCACAGCGCCTGCAGCTTGGCGTGCGACTCCTTGGTGAACTTGTGGTTTTCCAGGATATGATAGAGCTCGCGGTAGTTGCCACCGTGAAAGGCCACGATGGCTCGTGCGCGTAGCACCGACTCATTCTTGTTGAGGGCCTCGCAGGCCGCAGGGGCCACGGGCAGCGACCAGAGGAAGCGACCCAGGCGCTCCACATCGCCGCTCTCTTCCAGGGTCTCACATACCCCGGCCACTTGCTGGGGGCTGAAATTCAAGATGGGCAGCTGGAACATCGAGGCAGTGCCGGCGGCGGCGAGGGCACTGAGCCCGGAGCGGGACACGCAGCAGATGCCCGCGGGCCTGGCTGAGTGTGCCAGGCGCTTGTTGATGAGGCGGATTGGGGCAGCGGGACACACTACCGGGTGGCGGCGGTGGCTCAACGGCCGGGAGCGGACGACCCCGACTGGAGGAGGTGCTGGCTCCGCGGCTTGGGGTTCGGGCTCGGCTCGGCTCAGGCACGCCGGCAGGCGAGCTGGCTCCGCTATTGGGGTGGGCGGATTGGCGGCGCGGGCGCCATGGAGACCCCCTGTCAGTCACCGGGTGGCTCTGCCAATCAAAGCTTGAATCAGCACGCCAGGACTATTTCAGCACCTCCCCGTGCTCGACAGCGCCCGCCGTTAGCTCCTGGACTTTTCTTCAGTATTTTGCAGAACCTGGAGGTTGAAAAGACATGCGAGTGTCTGGGAGAAAAAGAGAGGCGAGTGCGGCAGCGTTCACTACTCCTCCCTCCCCCACCCCGCTCTACCCCTCCCTCCCTTTTTCCCACCAAATAGGCAGTGATGCCACAGGAATTCAGGAATTCACTTTGGGGCGATGCGTTGTCTCGGTCGAGAGGTCTCCAGAGGACAAAGAGGACTGGGCCAAACTGAAATGCTCCGAGAATTCGCAAGTTTAGTTGTAACGAAACAGCAAACCTTGCGGTGGGAGCAGGAAGCCGGTGGGGGGAAGCGATCTTCTCATTTTTCCCAAGTACCCATCTCTGCATGCCTCCCTCTTCCCCTTTCCAGTTGCCAAAGCAGCTGAGTGGGAAGCAAATCTGGAGCAGCAGGAACAGGACCAGGGATCTGTAGAAGAGGTCAGTTTGAACTCTAGCCTTACTCCCTTCAAAGCCCACTAAAATAATTTTAAATGCCAACAAGGACATGTTCACGTCTGATAACGCAGATGCAGACCACGAAGTCAGACACTTTAAGAAAAGAAGGGTGGGCTGTAGGGACCTCCAAATAAAGGGGGAGAAATATACTTTCTCCCCCTCCCCCAGTTTAATGGACTTGAACAAAGTGCAGCATAGCCACATCTAGAGCCGAGAAGTCATTGGTAGGTCAGGACAGCAACTTAAAAGCTTATTTCCTAGATCTTTTTTAAAATATCGACTTAACTCCTTTCCTTGTAGGCTTATTTTGCCCCTACCTTGTGTTAGAACTTATACCTCTTGAGCTGGGGATAACAACTCTAACCTTGGCATTTTAGCTCAAAAACAATTCAGTAAAAATACAATACAGAAGGGCATCCACGACAATGCGGGGGCCCAGAAAGCACTTCCTAAGCCGCTGATTATTGACCCCTCCTGTAGTGAGGAAGGAGTGGCTTGGTGGCTCTGACTTTGGGCTAGTGGAGTGAATTGGCAACTTTTATTGATTCCCAATTGGCAGTCCACATCATACCATTTTCTGAGGCCTGGGTCAAAGAAACCATGATCTCATCTGGGCCTGTGGTAGGGGTTTGTTTAGTTTGAAGAAAATAACTGGTAGGGGGCTGTATAACAAAAACGCCAGGAAAACCGTTTTGGGGAGGTCCATCCCTAGACAGAAATCAGGTGAGAACGTTCACAGCCGAACTGGACTGGACCCGACTGTCTTTTCTTTAGTATCAAGTACAATTTGTATGCGGCTTGTACAGATCTGGTAAATCAGAAGGCAGATAGATAGCACAGATGGTTGGAGGTGTCGGGTCAGATCACGCCACGCCTGAGTGCAGGGCAAAGCTCGTTCTGACGGAAAACCCTGATATTATTTTCACAGATCTTCACAGTTCACTCGAAAAAAATAGCAGAGGGGAAGAAAAAAGCCCTGAAACCATTTACATCATTTCTGTGAGATTGCCAACCGCCTCAACGGAGAGGCTTTCTTTTCTAAGAGTTCATTTTCTTGAAATACGACAAGGCAGGGGCAAAATAAAGAGGGCGATGAAGATAATGACAAAGCATAAACCTTCTTTCCCTTGGAGCGACTTCCGAATCAGCCGGAAGGACAACTTTTAGAAAGAAACATCGGATACAAGGGCCCCGAACACGCAGGCGGAGGAGAATCCGCGGTGCAGAAAAAGAGGGCCTCGGTGGCCGGGCAGGGATGAAGCCGGACCCGGGAGGGCTGCGATCCCGGAGCTTCTGGCCAGGGGAGGAAAGCACCCCCTTGCTCCAGTTTGCAGAGGTTTATTTTCCCTCTCGGGGTGGTTACTTTGCCGGCTATTGCTCGCGAAATTGCTTGGCGCTCACCCTTAGCGCGCAGAAGAGGCGGTGGGGTCCGCGGAGACCTTACAGCCCGCGAGCCGAGCCGAGAGCCGACCCCGATCCCAGCGCCTAGCTGCTGAGGTGGGAGAGGTTGTCCATGCCCCAGGAGACCACACGTCTCCCTCTCGCCCTTTTACTGGACAGTTTGGAAGCGGCACATTCGGGGAGAGCTGGTTTCTTACCCTTAATCTTTGTGAGCAAGTGGACAGTCTAGGGGCCCCATCCAGGAAATGGGAATATTTATCCCATGGCCCATTTCTTGGATAATAGTTCTGCAAATAATTAGATGAGGGCGCTTTAGCTTCTGCGTGTCTGAGGCTCGCGGGCAACTGGAACTGAGAGTCTGAGTTGGCCTCGCGGGAGCCGCCAGAAGGGTGCGGGCTGCGTGTGGCAGAGTAGGAGCACTGTCTGGTGGCTTGGCAGGAAGGGACTGAGAAGTGCCTGGAGGTTGGGGACTACTATCAGGAGATCCATCTTCGCCATCGCAAGGGACTTGATTTAATTTTATTAACCCAAAGGAAATAGACTGCGCCAGGGCACCTTGGAATCACTTATTTGTTCACCAGCTTCACAAGGGGAAGGGACGAACAGGAAGAAGTATGTGAGCCGAGCCCCCTGGGAAAGAGGGAAGCTCCACGGGATTCCTTAGGAATAACCCTCTTTTGGGGAAGGCGGTGACCCTCACCCCACCTTTAAGGTGTACTTCTCCCAAGTTTGCCAGACGAAAGCTGTGACTTCGGGCTGGCTTTTCTTAATTTTACAGAAGGGTATATATTTTTTTCTTTTACCAGTTTTGAGGTTTTGTGCCAACCCTCCAGGCAACCCCTCACTTCTTATCCCACATTTCATTTTTCTTTTGCATTTGACCGGGAAATCGAGAAAGTACAGTGGCAGCCCTTGGCCTTGGGCCTGTCTGGGTGGTTTTGCAGCTTGCTACTGGTGGTTTGCAGCTAGTAGATTGGGACATGAGGTCTTGGACAAAGGCTCGGGTCTTGCCGGGAATCCATAGACGTCTACTCAGCTTTCTCTAGAGTTGCATTTTGTGGGGCAAATATGGAGAAAAAAATCATGTAGAAGATGATGTCCAAGGGCTGGTTTTGTAGCTAACTGTTTCGTGCTGGATTTAGGCAAAGTGCCCCCAGGGAATTCTGAGGCTCATGCCGGAAATATCTGGAGTTCAGTGTGGGACTTCTGCACATATGGGGATCTCACTCCTCGCTCTGCCCCTACTGATTTTCCTCTCTAGAGTAGAGGACAGGTGGAATCCTGGTCACACCCTGCTCACATTTGCCAGAGGAGAGCAGTGCTTAGAAGTCAATACTTTCCTACCTCTGGGTTCCAATCTTATCTTTTCTTTGACTTTTCCTAAGTCAAATGTCTTTTTTAAAATGTTGTGTTTTTGTTTTTTTCTCACACAATTTCACATAATCAGCTATTTTAAGAATGCGGTAATTGAATCCATCTGAATTCCTTGATAAAGACATTTGTGCTGCATCTGAGAGTCACAGACTGGAAGACAATGAGGTCCCCAGTCTTTTGTGTGATTTGGACTTTGGAAGAGATCTTGGTTTCCCTTTCCTGTGTCTCAAAGCCGAGTGTTGGTGGTGACAACTGGCTTTTAGTTTTATAACTCTACTTCTAAAAAAGTATAAAATAATCTAGAAAGTTTTAAAAGGCATTTTTCCGAGTTTGAAATTACACTATTAAAAATTTACACTTTCAAACATTTATTTATTTGGCATTCTGATTTTCAGGTATATCATATGCATAAATATAGATGTGTGTTTGTTTATGTGTTTGGTAGTACAGACCTTCAGATTTTGGAATGAATTCAATATCCTACTTTTAAAGTACTACTAACTATACTAATAAACTGCCAAGGTAGATTGCACTATTTCATGCATTCCTCCCCTGCCATTGTGCACCTTGTAACAAAGAACAGAGAAGGCTCTTTAATTGTATATTTCTGAGAACAAACACCATTTGAGCAATGTTTGTAGATTTCCTAGTGTTGTTAAATTAATTGGCAAAAAAGTATTACAATTAAAATATTGACCTAATTTTAAGAGATTAGTATATTTTGTTATTATTCTTCATCAGCTATTTTTAAATGACATTTTAAAGTGATGCAGAATTGTTTATATTGTTAAGTGGAGGAAATTTGTATAAGTTTAAATTTGGGACAATGTGCTACTTCACAGTGATGATTAATTAGCCTAATGTTTTCTTAAAAAATGTTAGGCTACCTGTTCAACTGTGTTTTGACTTCTAGCTAGTGGTTGATCCTAGGCACTTGGATAAAAATTTGTATCTAAGCCAAAGAGTAGATGACAAATTATACACTTTGTAATATAAACTGTGGTCTTAAATTCATTTTTCTCTTGTCTACTTCTTTAGGACAAGCCTAAATGTTTACAGCACTAACCACATCACTGCATTACTTGCTTAGAGCTACATATCAGTGGGTTCTTGTCTGAAGGATTAGTGCTAAAAAATGTAGCCAGCTTGTCACTTAAAAACACTTTTCATTATTAGTAATGAAACATTTATTGAATGACTGAAAGAATGATTAATTCATGGTTCTCTATTGGGACATACTTTTTTCACAGCAGCAGGTTATTTTTGACAATTTTCAAATCTAAGATCGAAATATCCTTCTAAAATACACATAGAAACTTAAAATTCAATGATGTGAAAGAATGTAAGTTTGTTTAATGTCCTCTCGGATGCACCAAATATTATTCACATTAAACTGTATGTGTCATACATTGTATCAACTGTTTGTATTACATGTGTAGTAAATCATAATTTCCTTCTAAGTACTATAAAGTCAAATAGAGGCATCAGCCTTCAACAAATACCTTAAATTCTTTGAGTTGATCCAGCTAGTTAGCAAAAAGTGCTTATTAAATATTGCATTATAAAAAATACAGTCACATGACATCTTACCCTTCAAAGCAGCAATTCTCAACTGAGGGGAATTTTGTTTCCCTCCCGCTGTTTCCCCACTTCCAGGGGACATTTGTCAATATCTGGAGACAGTTTCGGTAGTCTCAGTTGGCATCTAGTGGGTGCAGGCCAGAGATGCTGCTAAACATCTTATGATGAACAGAACAGTGGTCCCCCAGACCCCACAATAACAAAGTCAATAACACTGCTGTTAAGAAACCTTGACCCAAAGGATCTTGCCCCAAATGATCAACAAGGCACAGACATACAAAACCTGCTAAAATTTGGTTTATTGTGGAGTTGAAGCATTTACAAAGGACTCAGAGCACTTTCAATTTCATCTTGGGTCTAGGCCATGTTAATAAAATCTGTTCCTAAGAGCTTACTGTAATTTTGTTTTTTCTTAAAATTTACTGTAAATGATACTTAGGATAACCAAATACTTATAAAGCTTGTAAATATCTGTGGGAATGGTGGGGTTGCTTCTATCTTGTTAGGATCTATGTTCTTTGAATAATTAGTGGGACAGAGAACAATGGTTGAAAGTTATTGTTCAGTGTCTCTCTATTTTATAAATGAATAAACTATGAGGACCACAGAGGTTAAATGATTACCCATATTGCACAGTTAGTTAATGGCAGAGATAGGTTTAAAACATAGACTCAAACTTGTATCCATTATATACCTTACTTTTTTTACTCAAGGAAAATAATTTAATTCCAATTGAGTTTGAGGGCAGTTCTGTATCACACACAAATAGTGGTTAATGCCTGCCGTGTGTAAGGTCCAGTACTATTTCATGCTGTTGTGACTTTCAGAGTTTGGTGCACTCTAGTTCAAGGACCTCAGAGAGACTTACACTTCTGGGTCTTGTCAGGTGGTATAACCCTTGCAAGCCCTAAAAACCCTTGAATCAAAAATGTGTCTCTGGGATTTTTGTTGTTTTTTGAGCGGGGGTGGAAACTGGTGGAGTCTGGTGTTACTGAAGACCCTTCTCTGAGTCAGCACACTGTGTATTGGCAGGAAAAATGGAACTGAATGCAGCCTCTAAGGAAAAGAGATTGGACTTGAGGTGTCGTAAAGCTTGGTTTAAGTAAACAAAACCCTCTGAACTCTTTTGTCAGGTCTTCCAAAAGAATAACAGTGATGCTCACAAGCATTTCTATAATTAACAAGCTGTCAACATTTCTATTACAACTACAGAAGTCTATTACAGACCACAGAATTGTCATAAATGTTTCTTTAGGTCTGAAATGTTAGCCTTCATCTTCTTTTCAGCCTAAGGGCAATTTTTGAAACCAATTTTGTTTCAATCATTTTGGATCAGTTGTGTGGTAATTTTGGAAGTGCAGATGCTCTAGGCCCACCTATTGAAATAAAGATTTTTAAATGGAAACACAGAGAGGAGGCTGCTTAAGCCCCAGTGGGGACCAGCTGCAAAGCTCTGGCAGGGAATTATACAGGCAGACAGTGGGAGTAGATTTAGAAAAAAATTAAGGGACAGAGAAATGAGTGCATATTTCCTTTAACAGCAGATTTTTGTTCTCAGATCTTTCAAACTATGAAATTTTAATCTTTTTTTCTGTTTTAGTGTTTTATCTGTTATTACTTTCTCTGTTATGCCTTGGTTTTGGTGAAATTAATGTAAGATAATATGTCTTTACAGCTATTAAAATTGGGGGCTGAACTGATTTTTTTGAATTTTAGTATTTAGTTTTTATCTTTCATTTAGTTGTTTTCTTTCTATCCCTCTCATCTCCTTTCTGTTTCTTTACCTTTTTATCCTTTTTGTGGTCTCTGAAAGATTTCTTATTTCCCAATGATTGTATTTCTCTGTGTTGTAATAATTCATATTTATGTTCCCTTTTCTCCTTTGTGTTTCTTCTGACTCCATTACTCCTTCCTATTCCCCATTGCTGAGGACCTCCTCACTAGACTAAGCCTTGTTAAAACTGTGAGATAGATAAAGATACAATACTCAATTTCTGAAGGTAGATGGGAGGATGGGGAGTGGTTTTCATAGAAAAGGGAAATAGTGTCACTATAATGGTATTTTAGGGCAATGATGTTTCTCAAACTAAACTTTATAGAAGCAGATAAAGCAGTAGAGCAAGGACTTCCAATATTTTAGGTTTAAATCATTGCAATAACCACATGATTTTGGGCCCCCGTTTCCTTATCTGATAGCATAATTCTTATCCTATGGGATAGATGTAGGGATTAAATGAGATTATGAATGACTGTTCCTTGCACAGTGCCTGACACATAGTAAATTCTCAACAAGTGTTAGTTCCCCTCTTGTGGGCAACTATCCACTTAATATATCAATTAGGCCATATTGTCTTAATGATGTCTCACTTTCCATCTTGTCCTGGGTCTCATAATCTTTTGATGCCTGCCTTAGGTTTCTCGAAACTTTCCAAGCAATAGGTTATTTTGAAGTAGGCCTTCCTATTCTGTGGACCACTGTTGTTGCAATAAATTAGTCTAAAGAAGTCAATAGATAGCTTACATGAAATTCCCCAAATGCCCTCTGTATTTGTTTCCTGTGGCTGCCATAAGAAATTGCCACAAACTGAGTGGCTTAAAACAACAGAAATTTATTCTCTCACAGTTCTGGAGGCAACAAGTTTGAATCGAGGTGTTGACAGGGCGATATCCTCTCCAGAGGCTCTAGAGGAGCCTCTTCATGCCCCTTCCAGCTTCTGGTGGCTGCTGGCATTTCTTGTTTTGTGGCTGCATCTCTCCAATCTCTGCCTCCTTCTTTGCCTTACTTTCTCTCCTATGTGTGGATGTGTGGATGTGAAAACTCTTTCTGCCTGTATTTTAGAAGGATGCATGTGATTGCTTTTTTTTTTTTTTTTTTTGGAGACAGGGTCTTGCTCTGTTGCCCAGGATGGAGTGCAGTGGCACAATCATAGCTTACTGCAACCTCGAACTCCTGGCTCAAGCCATCCTCACACCTCAGCCTTCTTAGTATCTAGGACTACAGATACATGGCATCACATCTGGCTAATTAATAATTTTTTGTGTGTGTAGAGACAGGGTCTCTCTATATTGCCTAGGGTGGTCTCAGACTCCTGGCCTCAAGTGACCCTCCTTCACCTGGCCCTAGACAGTCTATTCTTATTACACACACTCACACTTACACACACACACACATACCTACATGTACACACACATTCCTCTCTATTCTTTCCTCTGCTCTAGTTCATTTGTTGCTATTTGTGCTCTTTTCTCATGTATTGTCCTCATCTGGAGTGCTAGGTTTTTTTCCTACTGGAAATGTCTTTTTTTTTGTTCGTTTTCCTTCTTATAAAAGCAATACATGGTCATTGACATAAAAATCCAAGCACTATGGTTATATAGAGTCAAAAATGAGTTTCTCGTAGTACTATTATTAGAGATAACTACTATTAGTGCTAGGTGCATATCCTTATGGACGTTTTTCTCTATGCACAGAGACACACATTTTTTCCCCTTTGATGAAAGTATTTATATTATCCATACTGTTTTATAGCCTTTTCCTGATAACATTTCGTGAACATTTTTCTTGACCATAAATATGTTATCATTTTGAAGGTTACATTGTGTTCTACAGCATAAATACCACAACTTATTTAACCAGTCCCTATTGATGTTTAAATTCCATTTTTTCACCATTATAACAATGAAGCAAGGAACATGTTTATGTATTGTCCAGTTTTTTCCTTCAAATTATTGGATGTGAAATGGATGGGTCAAAAGGTATACACATTAAACAATTGATACATACTTCCAAATTTCCATCCAAAAAGACTTTTACCAATTTTTACTTCTACCCACTCTGTATAAGAGTGTCATTCCCAGCCAGGCGTGGTGGCTGACACCTGTAATCCCAGCACTTTGGGAGGCTGAGGTGGGTGGATCACCTGAGGTCGGGAGTTCGAGACCAGCCTGACCGACATGGTAAAACCCCATCTCTACTAAAAATACAAAATTATCCAGGTGTGGTGGCGCATGCTTGTAATCCCAGCTATCTGGGTGGCTGAGGCAGGAGAATCACTTGAACCCAGGAGGCAGAGGTTGTAGTGAGCCAAGATCGCGCCATTGCACTGCAGCCTGGGCAACAAGAGCGAAACTCAATCTCAAAAAAATAAAAAATAAAAAAGGAGTGCTAGTCCCTCCTCACACTCTGGTCATTAATCTTCTTATAAATCTTTCCCAACTTGATAGATGAAAAATAATTTCTCATTTTTTAAAATGGGCATTTCTTTGATTATTAATGAGGTTATACATGTTAATATATTTATGGGTAATTTGTATTTATTCTTTGGAGAATTTTCCATTGGGATGTTTGTTCTTTCAAAATCATATGTAAGGTCACTTCAAATATTAAGGATATATATTTTTTCTTGTCGTGTATTGCCAATATTTCTTCACAGTTTTTCACTTGCCTTTTAACTTTATCAAGTTGATTGCCCTACAGGCAATCACCTATAGTTTTTACATAGTTGAATCTATCAAATCCAGTTCTGCCTTAGGGGCCATACTTAGTATTGCCAACCTTGCCAGTTATAAAAATAATCTGTATTTCCTTCTCCTACTATTCTTAGATTAAAAACATTTTAAAACTGCTTAATACTTCTGGATTTATTTTGTGGTCTTATGTAAATTTGAAATCTAACAGCGTTGTTTTCTTCTTCAAATCATTTTCTAATTCTACCACAATTATTTATTGATTGATCTATTCTTTTTCCACAGATTTGAAACGCCACCTGTATCACATACTAAATTTATATACATAGAAATTATTCTGGATCTTCTATTCTGTTTCATCGATATGTGTATTTATTCCTATTGTTTCACAACTGCAGTTGAAGTACATTTTAATATCTGGTAAGGCGAGTTATTCTTCAGTATTATTTTTTTTTTTTTGAGACGGAGTTTTGCTCTTGTCGGCCAGGCTGGAGTGGAATGGTGTGATCTCGGCTCTCTGCAACCTCCGCCTCTTGGGTTCAAGCGATTCTCCTGCCTCAGCCTCCTGAGTAGCTGGGATAACAGGCGCCCACCACCATGCCCAGCTATTTTTTGTATTTTTAGTAGAGATGGGGTTTTGCCATGTTGGCCAGGCTGGTGTTAAACTGATCTCAGGTGATCCGCCTACCTTGGCCTCCCGAAGTGCTAGGACTGCAGGTGTGAGCCACCGTGCCCGGCCCTTCAGTAATATTTTTAAGAAAATTCTTTGGCTGTTCTGTGGATATTTTCTTCCAGATGAACCTTAAGATCAGTTTGTCAATGTTTTTTCACTATCTCAGAGTCCAGTGGGGGTTTTCACAGAATTGTATTACATAAATAGACTAATTTGTGATAAATTACATCTTTGCAATGTTGAATGTTCCAGTTCAAATACATGAAATGACTGTCATTTATTCTAATGTTTTTTAAAATGTCCTTCAGTAAAAGTTTATCGTTTCCTCATGTAGGAAAAGCAGACATGAGATTTGAAAATGCACCAAGGATTGAGGTTATTATTGTAAGGGCCTTAAGTCCTATAGAAGTCCATAGATTACAAAGACATCATTGTATTACAGAGTAGTACAATAATTAACATTTAGCATTGTTTAAAATAAATGAAAAAGTTTTTCCACTGAATTCCCTGAGTTGTAGATATAGATAATTGGAGGGGAAGAGGAGCAGAAAATGAGGTTAGAGTTTGGAAAATTGTCTGGAGCAGGGTGGTGATAACTGGCCTTTCCTATATCTCCCTAATCCTATGAGTGCACCCAGGCTGAAGCCTGAGAAACAGTCTTTAATGAAATTGAGTGATTAGCCTGGAAAGGTATAGACCTCTCAATGAGAAATGTCTGTGCTTAATTAGAGTTTGGAAATTATGTTAGCTCATTCAACATTAGTAAGGGAGCCCAAGAGTTTTAATGATATAGTAAAGAATATGTGCATTATTTTGTGTATAGAAATATAGAAGTGCAATTAGAAACTCCAGGGAAAACAAAATCTGTATAAGAAATTATAAATGAAATATGAAAAATACTAAAACATGCTTCATTACAATAAATTCATGGAAACTAAACAAAGAAAATTTAATTGACTTTGATACTTAGAAATGTGGTGCAAGTAAGTTTTCAAGTGGCATATACAGTGACACAAAATTTCATTATCTCTACTTTTCTGTATTTACCAGGACACTGTAGCTGCAGGCAATAGAAACCCAACTTAGACTACCATAAGTACAAAGGGAATTTTTTTCTTTTTTCTTTCTTTCTTTCTCTTTTTTTCTTTTTTCTTTTTTTTGAGATGGAGTTTCACTTTTGTTGCCCAGGCTGGAGTGCAGTGGTGCGAACTTGCCTCACTGCATCCTCTGCCTCTTAGGTTCAATCGATTCTCCTGCCTCAGCCTCCCAAGTAGCTGGGATTACAGTCGCCCGCCACCATGCCCAACTAATTTTTAAAAAAATAGTTTTAGTAGAGATGGGGTTTCACCATGTGGGCTAGGCTAGTTTCGAACTCCTGACCTCCAGTGATTGGCCCACCTCGGCCTCCCAAAGTACTAGGATTACAGGTGTGAGCCACTGTGTCCCACTCAAAGAGAATTTTTTGACTTGCAGAACTGAAAGTCTAGAGGTAGCAGATTCTTCCTCATCTGTGACTGTTTTCCTTATAAGGACACTTCTTAGACTTTATTCTGTCAGAAGTGCTTATGAATTGAATTGGGATTATAGTCATTATGACAAACTGTTGCTGTAACCTATTTGTTTCGAATGCCAAGGAGTGTGTGTGTGTGTGCATTGGGCCTGTACTCATGGAGACTACAGTATAGTGGATGAGATAGATATTTATACGATAATTACACAAATAATAGAGAATTAAAACTGTGTTAATTGCTATGAAGGATAAGTGCATGAACTATGAGAGTTTATAACAGACATTGCTGAGTCTGTGATACTTGAGTTTAAAGTTGAAGAATGAGAAGGAGGTTATTAAATAAAGAAGGATAGAGCATTCCAGGCAGAGGAGCCAGCAAGTACAATATCCCCCTGATGGAAAGAGCATGTTAAGAACTGACAGAAGTTCATAAAGATGGATTGCAGAGGAAGGTAGAGTTAGTATAATATGAAGATGGAGAGATAGGTAGGGACAGGACCGTAAAGGTCCCTGTAGGCCATGATAAGAATTTTGTCCTTGACTTGGACATGTGCTTTCCAGCTGAAGGAAGCTAACTTTCCCAGCTCCAATAACTTGTGCTGGAGGCCAAATAACTGCAGCTCCCCCCAGCACCCAGTGCTTGCACCATGTTGTTGAACAAGCAGGTGAAACCACAGCACATCACCTTGGAGAAGGGCCAGGGTGAGCAGTAGTTGCAGAGCTGACTCGGAGTTTGCAGATGCAACCTAGTGGCACCAGTGGCAGGGGAGCCAGGTTCTCCAATGACCCACCTAGGAAATGGTGATAAATTGAATGAGAATGAAGCAACGGTAAAGCAGCTTCACTGGGAAGAGGCTAACAACTGAGAGATGCTGTGCAAAGTTCTTTAGCCTCTCTCAGTTCTTGAAACATAAGAAAAATTGTACAAAAAATCCACCTATCTTCATCATGTATGACAGCAAGAGGCCAGTGCCTTGAGAAGACTTCTTTGGAGCTGTACTGAGCCACCAGCCACCCAGTCCAAGCAGTAAGAATGGTCACATGGAGAATGGTGGCAGCTAAGGGGACATAAAGGAGAAGCTGGATGCAGAGTCTGTCATGTACTTAGAGACAGACACTGCCCTGCCACCCACACCCCAGAACATAAGCTATTTACCCAAAGGGAAAGTGGCCAACACAAATGTGACTCTTCAGGCACTATGGGGCAACAAGGTATGATGAATCAGCTTCTGTGGCTGGCACCAACAGTATCCAGTGGGTCCTTGAGCAGATCCTGTTTCTGCAGCAGCTACAGCAGATCCAGCTCACCCAGCAGATCTGAATTCAGATGAACATGTGAATCTCCTGTACTCACATCAGGGGAGGAGTGTGATACTCTATAGAACTTGGACAGCCACATGTTCCAGCAGGTTTCTGCAGCTGTGGCTTTGCTCAGTCAGAACACTGGAAGCCAAGGTCTGTCTCTGGATGCCTTGAAACAAGCCAAGCTACCTCATGCCAAAATCCCTTTCACAACTAGCTCTTTGTCCCTGGGACTGATACCCTTCGTCCTAAAGTGGGACATATGTGCTCCCAAATGTCATGTCTTGCCCCCTGAGTACTTTGCTACCTCACACCCTGGACTCTGTGCTCTTCCAGAGTTCTTTCTATATTCTATACTGTAGTGCTAGACCTTTCCAAGAAAGGGAAAAGGAAGCCATGGAACACCTCAAGGTGGATGTCAAAGCCAAAGACAAAACCATCGTCTACAAGCACAAATTTAAGTATCGTAGCAAGCTTTTGGGGACTGATAGCTCCTTGTAGATACAACTCCGCTCCCACTTTGGAGAGAAACCCTTCATGTTTTCTGTCTGTGGTCATGGCTTCACCACCAAGGGTAATCCAAGGTGTGCTTTCATAGATATTTTCAGGTAAAGGCAAACCTTCAGCTGTTTGCCAAGTTCCAGGACAAAATGGGAGCAGGCAATGGCATTCCCATGTACTCTCTGTACCTGTCCCCATAGATGAATTGAGTCTCTCTTTAGGCAGCCAACTTGTCTTTGTAACAGGGATGCTCTCCATAGGTGTACCTCAAAATCTCCCTTCGGGTACTGAGCTCAAGGACCTCATCAGTGACCTGTTGCTTGATGACCTGCCGCTCAGATCTTCTTCAGAATGTAAGGGTAGACTCACACAACCTGGGGTGGGACCAAACTATAATTCCCCAAGGATTGGTGGCCTCCAACGGAGTGGAATCCATGAGCCAGGGTCAGAGACCCAGAAATTGCAGCAACTGGTGGAGAACATTGACAAGTCCACCACCAACCCCAATGAATGTCGCATTTGCCACTGAATCTTGAGCTGCTATAAATCCCTCAAAATGCATTACCGTGCCCACACTCGGGAGAGACTGTTCCAATGTAAGATCTATGGCCAAGCTTTTTCTACCAAAGGCAACTTGAAGACACACCTTGGGGTTCACCAGTCCAACACATCAATAAAGTTGTGTCTCATCAGTCAAAAGAAATTTACCAGTGTGGCCATGTTGTACCAACATATTAACATGCTGGAGAATCTTGGTGATTTTACTGGTCTTGAGCCAATGATGGCCAGTGAGAATGGCAATGTAAGTGCCATCTGTCATGATGATGTTGTAGAAAGCACTGATGTAGACAAGGTCAGCTGCCAAGATGCTCCCAGTAGCTCCTTGAAGGTCCTTGCACCTCCCCCTAGAATCCACTTGGCATGACTTACTCTAACTACATGATGGCTTCCCTAGATGTGGGTTCTGCCCATTTTAGCCTGCAGTGGTAGAGCAACTGAAAAAATGGTCCAGTGGAGAGCCAAAGTCCAGATGCCGTGGAAACCATGGCCTTCCAGGCACTCTACCCAGCCAATAACCAAGCAGAAGCTATCACATCAGAGTCTCCCAATGCTAGGGCAAAGCTGAGAGCTCTGACAATAGCTGCACCAAGATGGAAGGTCGGAGCAGTCTCCCGTTAATATTTATACAAGCACAGCCAACCTATGTCAGAGTTGAAGTTTCTAACATATTTATCAGACCCTTGGCCATGTTCTTGGGCTGACACCTTTTTAGCAGCCCAATCATGCAGACAGGCCAGGCAACACAGCTGCACATGATGTGGGAAGAATTTCTTGTCTGCTAGTGCCTTCAGATTAATTAATGAGCTCACACTGGAGAGAAACCTTTTGTGTGCAACATATATGGGCAAGCTTTTGCCACCAAATGCAACTTGAAGGTCCACTATATGATGCGCAAGGTAAACAATAACTAGACATGCCATGGAAAGAAGCTGCCTATCAAGAACACCATGGATGTTCTTGTTTTTGTTCACCATGGATGTTAGATATGAATGGAAAGAGTCTCAGAAATGTTTCCCAAGGAAATTCTGGCCCCTTTGATGAATGTGGACCCTGTCGTGTGGAACCAGTACATCAGCATGCTCAATGGTGGCCTTGCCATGAAGAACAATGAAATCTCCGTGGTCTAGAGCGCCAGTGTTGACACCCTTCCAGTGTCCCTCTTTTCATTGTGAATGATGTACTGTCTCCAAGATGGATAGCTCCCAATCAGGTATCAGTGCTAATCTGGAAAAACCAGGAGCTACTAACAGTGTTCCTAAACACCAGTTTCCCTCACTTCTTGGAAGAAAACAAGACTGTGGTCAACTAAGCCAAATGGGAACCTGTGTAGAGGGACGAATGCAGCCAGTGAAATCTCTAGAATCTGTGCTTTCTTTCTTTTTTTTCATTTTCTTAAGAAACTCGTCTCCTTTTCCTGTTTTCCTTTTTCTTACTGATATGTAAATGATGTTTACAGTTGTGTCTGAAACCTCAGGCAGTCCTACAATCACCATTGTTGCTATGCTGCTTTGCAAAAAATAAAAACAAAACATGAAATAAAAATTTATACCAACACAAATACAGACTAGATTTTTTTTTTAAATTTTGGAAGAAGTGGGCCTTGAAAGTAGCTTTGCCTCTTTTGACAAAGTACACATAGAAACTTTGTACCCCTAGAGTGACTGTTTCCAAAGTCTGTCACCTATTTCAAGGTAGAACAGTTGGAGCTTATTGAACCAAGTGGAAAACATAACTGCTTAGCCTAACTGGGGGAAAGGGTACTGTATACTTAAAAGGTAACTATATTTGGGTAAACGGACAAGATCTGTCATATATTTAGGGACCTGTTTTATATGCCAGCTAACCATGTACCTATCTTTCATTTTGTTTTGTTTTGAGTGTACCTTAAAAAAAACTCCAAAATACTAAGGTTGTAGAATTACAAAGTTTCTTCAACCCTAGAAACTTAAGTAGAATACCCTCATATGGGCTTATTTTAGTCCTTAGGGAGTCAATGTGTGTGTTGCTGCTTATTTAAGTACAGTTCATTCGAAGCCCCAAGTATGCCAATGCCTTTCCCACACTTCCCAGTTGCCTTCATCTTCCTGAATGCTAGAAGAAGTGGGCACCTGAGTGGGGAATATTAGGTGACATAATTCAGTTTGCCAGTGCCTACTCTATTGAAAATCTGAGTTTTTTTTCTAGAGATAAAACTCATGGAAAGGCATGTTTTCTATCACAGGTTCACGTACTAATTTAAAAAAAATTTCGTTAGTGAGACTGATGCCATGTAATTATGAAGATTTTTTTCCTAAGTATTTCTTGGAGGCTGCAAAGTTAGAACAGGCAAGTCCTGGCTGTGAAAGCTTTAATTTATCTACTTCATTTATTTTTTATTTTTATTTTTGAGACAGGGTCTTGCTCTGTCACCCAGGCTGGAGTGCAGTGGCACAATCTTGGTTTACTGCAACTTCCGCCTCCCAGGTTCAAGCCATCCTCCTGCGTCAGCCTCTTGAGTAGCTGGGACTACAGGCACATACCAGCACACACAGCTAATTTTTTATTTTATTATTATTTTTTTTTTTTGGTAGAGATAAGGTTTCGCCATGTTGCCCAGGCTGGTCTCGAACTCAAGCAATCCACTTGTGTTGGCCTCCCAAAGTGTGGGGATTACAGGAATGAGCCATTGCGCCGGGCCCGTACTTCATTTATTTTTTATTTTTGTAGCCATAGTCTCTATTTTCTTACTTTATAACTACTGAAGGATTCCCAGGCCCTGTCTTAAACTTAAGGATTGATATATTGGTGGGAACAGCTGGACATTCAAGATATTTTTATTTCTTTTTAAAAAATTCACTTTTGTACATGTGTTAATATTGAGCAAATGATGAAACAATGCTCTAATGGTTTAACAAGGAAGGAGAGAAAAAGGCCATAACTTTAGGGTGGAGAAGTCTTTTCTCTTCCTGTGGAAGGTCTTTACTGAAGGCCAGAATGTTACTCCAAGTTTTGTCTCTTAGTTATTGCGCCTGACTTTAGGATAAAAAAATTTTTTTTAAAGTTTTGCCAAGTTGTGCCTTTCCTTCTGAAATTTTAAGAGAACACAATAATAGTACCCGTTCACACTGTGAAGTGGGTATTGTTGCAGAAAACACCCAAGTGGCTTTCTCACTGTTGAGCTAGTAATGGCTTGTAAATACATGATCAATAGGGAAGCACCTGTAGTTGTACCTGGTGATGCTGTCTGTTGAAAAATAAATTTTGAATTTTTTCCAATAAAATGTATTTTGTCCTTATTCTTAGAATGATAGGAAGTCATTAACATGCTTTAACATAGGGATGTGTGTGTGTGTGAGAGAGAGAGAGAGAGAGAAAAAGAGAGAGAGAATATTTACATTTAAGAATTGCTCTGTCACAGGATGGAGAGAGAATGGGCAAGAGGGCTAGAGTAGATATGTGGCAAAACCAGTTTGGAAGTTAGTACAATAATCCAGGTGAGAGAATGAATTTAGATGGCGGCAGCTGAAATAGAGAAAAATGGATGGAAGATATTTAAGAGGAAAAATTGGTAGGATTTATGATGGATTTGATGTGGGGGATGATAGGAGAGGAAGGTTGTCACGGTCTAGGTTTCTGGTATGCACAAATAGATTCTGGTCTCATTAATGAAAAGGATGAAGGAGGTCAGCATTAGTGGGGGAAATACATGAGCTGTGTTTGAGCTTGTGCTGTGGTTTGAATGTTTGTGTCCCTCCACAATTCATGTTGAAACTTAATCCCTAATGTAATAGTATTAAGAGGCGTGATGAGGGCTTAGTATTAGTGCCTATAAAAGGGCTTGAGGGAAAGACTTTGTCCTCTTCACCATGTTGGGACATAGCATTTGTCCTCTCCGGAGGACAGCAACAAGACACCATTTTGGAAGCAAAGAGTGTGCCCTTACCAGACACTGAATCTGCCAGTGCCTCAGTGTTGGACTTACTGACCTCAAAAACTGTGAGAAATAAATTTCTATTATTTATGAATTATCTAGGTAGTGGTGTTTTGTTATAGTGCAGGATGGACTAAGATAGCTTATCACGTCAGCAATTAGATACGTGGGTCTGGAACTCAGGATAGGTGTCATGAACAGTTGCTTTTCCTTTTGACTGCCCAGCATTTAAATCCAATTCTTATGTTTGGAAAGTATTTTACCCTAACAGTCTGGGAGGAAGAAGAGATTTATGTGTCATAGGCTTCTTTAATGAAATATATCTACCCAAGATTTTGAATTGGAATGAGTGACACCAGCAAGTGTGCCCTAGAAAGAATCCTATCTGTTAATAGGTGACAGTTAAAGTAAGATAGAGTTTGTAGGGCAGTTGTGGTAGTGCTCATGATAGTGATGTGAGCTGCAGTCCTCAGTGCTTGGTTGTAGTGATGGTGTCTCGACTACCAAATCTGTGGTATGAGTTTGGTTTTTGCTTCTTGCTGTATAGCACATGAGTCTGGTTCTCTAGCTATTCTGGGGAGTTTTGTGTTACACAGTAACATTTTTAAAATTTTTTACTTTATTATTATTTTTTAGAGGCAGGATCTTATTCTGTTGCCTAAGCTGGAGTGCAGTGGTGCGATCATAGCTCGCCACAGCCTTGAATTCCTGGGCTCAAGTGATCTTCCCGCCCCAGCCTCCCAAGTAGTTAGGACTACAGGTGTGCACCTATTTATTTATTTATTTATTTATTTATTTATTTATTCATTTATTTATTTATAGAGATGGGTTTTCTCTGTGTTTCCCAGGCTGGTCTTGAACTCCTGGGCTCAAGCAATCCTTGTGCCCTGACCTCCCAAAGTCCTGGGATTACAGGTGTGAGCCACCATGCCTGGTCCCAGTATTCTTCAAACAAATTTCACCTTTGCTTAAATCAGCCAGAATTAATTTCTGTTGTTTGCAATTACTGACTTGGATTGATACTAGAGGTCTAGGCTAGAGATACACATTGTGAGTCACCTGTATAGTGGTTGCATTAGAAACCATGCACATGGAGTACAGATGAAAAAAGGCCTAGGACTGAATCTGAGATTTACAACATTTAATGGCTGAGTGGAAGGAGAGGAGGCTGAAAGAGAAGATAGAGAAAATTATGAGAGATGGGAGAAAAATCATGCAGCTACTGCGGTGTTTTAAGAAGGAAAAGTGATAATGCAGAGGTCAGGTCAGTTAATGACTGAAACATGTTCATTGGATTCAGTGTCATGAGGTCATTGTCATCTTAGAACAAATTTTATGGCATAATGGCATTGGAAGGCAGATTGGAGTAAGAAAAGAGGAGGGAGACTGTGAGTTTAGACAACTGTTTAGAAATCAGGTTGGCTGTGAGAGAAATATGATGTTGACTCATAAAACCTTTAATGTCTAGGGAAGATTCTCTCTCTTTCATTTTCTGGTATAGACTTGACCATGTTTAAAGCTGATGAGAGGGATCCAATTAAATGGAAGAGATTGAATACACATAAGAGAAAAGGCATATTTGATATTTTAACGCTTCTGAGGAGGTAAGAGGAGATGGTACTCAAATACAGGTGGAGGAATTGGCTTTAGGTAAGAGGAGAGAGAGTTCCACTATTGTAACAGAACAGAAGGAGGATAGATTAATGAAGATTTAAGTAGGATCATATGTTTGATAGCTGGAATTTGAAGAAGTTTCATTCCAATGTCTTCTATATTTTCTATATACTATGTGCTGGGCATTATATTAGGGGCTTTATAGAAATTATTTTATTTAATCTTCATAACTATTCCATGATGTTGGAGTTATTACAATTTCCACTTTATATGTGAGGAAACGAAAGCTTGGATTAGAAACTTGCCCAAAGTTTTGACTTAACAAATGACAGATCCAGAAGTTAAATCCATATCTGCCTGACTGCAAAGATTGTTTATAGAGTTGACTGGATGCATACAAAGAAAATATCAAAGAAAAAATCAGCAAGACTTTGTGAATAATTATTTATGGGAGATGACTTTGGATTTAGATCAGGTTAAATCAAGATTGATGGAAAGCATATAAAGATAAATATTTGGATAACTCCCTGATAATAGGATAGGACTGGAAGTAAAGATTTGGGACTCATAAGCACAGGTGTGATAATTGAAGTTACTATGGATGCATGACCCCCAAAAAAGAAAAGGGTAGAGTTAAGGAAAAAAATCTTGGTTAGAGTCCATGGTGATGGTGAGGGGGAAAGAAATAGAAGATGAAATCTGAGGGGCAGATAGGAGAGGTGGGAGAACCAGAAGAGAGTAGTGTCTTGGAAGTCAGGATTGCAGAGAGTTTAAATGGAACCAAGTATGGAAGAGAGTAAGAAAAAAAGGAAGGGAGGAGGATAAGACTGAGAAAAGACCATAAGATTTGGAATTAAAATGTTGTCTTGATTACCTGAGAAAGTAGTTAAATGTGATGGAGATAGTAGTTAAATTGAAAAGGTCAATTAGGAAATGAGTGGAGAGGAATTGTAGGTAGGAAACACAAGCTTCCTATTAGATAAATTAAGCAATAAAAGGAAGAAAAGGAATACCGTGCAATTAGAATGAGCAGCAGGTTTAAGTAATGGATTTCTTCAGATTGTTGATTATGGATCAAGAGGCAAAGGTGTCAATAATAGATAAGGAAAATTTTATCTTGTGGGAGTACTTTCCCAGAAAATGATTTGTTAAGATAAATGTTTATCTGAGTCAAAGTTCTATAATTTTTCAAATGGAGCACTGTAATTCACTGGAGTGAGAGGGAATAGGGAGAGAGGGAAATAAAATTTATTTAAAACTCTCCAGTAGATGGAGCATCTTCATTGCTTTTCCAGAAGAAAATTTTGGAATGGAATAAGATAGATGGTAGTGGTGTTGGTAGAACTTAGGTATATTTTTATGAGGGTAATTAGGATATGTATAGATGTGAATTTAAATGCAAATAAATTGATTTTCAGATCTCAGTAAGGTGGTGTTTCTAGATTTCTACAAATTTTCATAAGAAAATCTAGTGTTAAATTGAAGTAGACTAACTTTTTACCTACTAAATTTTCTTGACAGTCATAGCAATGTAGTGCCAGTAAGACAAAATAGATTTACACTTTATATTTGCTTTCCTATGTTTTCCTAAAAAGAAGTAGTTAATAAATATAAACAAATGTAATAAGAGTAAATTTGGGTTAATATCTAAATAAGGAACTCAACTAAGCAAGAAAACAAACAATCTGATTAAAAATGGGCAAAGGACCTGAATAGACATTGCTCAAAAGAAGATGTGCAAATCGCCAACAGATATATAAAGAAATGCTGAACGTCAATAATCATAGCGAAATGCAAATCAAAACCACAATAGGATACGTCACACCTGTTAGAATGACTATGATAAAAAAGGCAACAAGTGTTGACAAGGATATGGAAAAAAGGAAAAGTTGTACACTCTTTGCGGGAATGCAAATGGGTACCGCCATTAGGGAAACAGTGAAGAGACTTCTCAAAATTTAAAAATAGAACTATCATAAGACCCAGCAATCCCACTTTTGAATACATATCCAAAGAATATAAAATCACTTTGTGGAACAGATGTCTGTGCTCTCATGTTCACTGCAACATTATTCACAATAGCCAAGATATATACTCAACCTATCCATTCATTTGTCAATGAATGGATAAACACACACACACACACACACACGGACTTTTATTCAGCTTTAACAGAGAAGGAATCTTGTCATTTGTGACCACATGGATGATGGATGAGCCTGTGGGACATTATGCTAATTGAAGTAAGTCAGGCACAGAAAGACAAATACTATATGACTTCACTTGTAGGTGGAATCTGAAAAAGCTGAGCCCATAGAAGCAGAGAGTAGAATGGTGGTTGCCAGTGGCTGGGGGAGGGAGGAGGTGGGAATGAGGAAATATGTTGGTCAAAGGGTACGAAGTTTCAGTTAGGCAGATTGAATAAGTTCTGGAGATCTAATGTACAGCATGGTGACTATAGTTAATAATACTGTATTGTGTCCTTGAAACTTGCTAAGAGAGTAGATCTTAAAGGTTCTCACCACACACACCCAAAAATGATTATATGAGGTGATGGATGTGTTATACAAATTAACTTGATCGTGGTGATCATTTCACAATGTATGTATACGTCCAAATATCATGTACGTGGTAAATACAATTTTTATTTGTCAATTATGCCTCAATAAAGCTGGAAAAACTAAGTAAAAGATTTTTCACACACACACAAAAGAATAAATCTGCTAAATTGTTACATTATCAAAACATGTTAGTTTTGTTGAATATTAATACCAACTAGTGAGCAATATGACAGCACACTATAATAAAATTGGTTATGCATATCTGATCTGAGGCACTTAAGGAAGAAAAACTTCTGAAACCTTCTTTTTCACTTAAATATTCCGTGAAACAGCTTAGGTTTTGGTGACTTGAGACAATTATTGTGATCATTTACGGTTAAAAACATTTCTACGAGAAATATACAAAGGATTGAGGCACTTTGGAGGACTGAACTGCTTAATGATTTTGTTTACACTCTTTATTTCACTTTGGATAGGCAGACAAAGCCTAAGAGCATAAATTACCTAAAGACAGCATTTTGGGCAGAAAATGTACTTTATTTGAAACTGAGCAAATGAGTCAGTCTCAAAATGTCCATTCAACTAATATGTATTTGAGTTGTGCTTGCTTTTTAAGATGTTTTGAAAAATGCTGAATTCAGAATTGAATTTTGATTATTGAATTGAGTATTTTTTACTCTTGTTAAAAGTTAATATCAATTTTATTGTTGTACTCCAAAATATTTTTAAAAACTTGTTACAAGAGGAATAAATAGGCTTTAAAAAACACTTGTCTTCAAGAAAACAGGAGAGTCTCTGACAGGTCTCTACTTCTTTGAGGGTCCTCTAACTCCAGCACCCACTTCTGTGGTTTTACGGGGCTTATTCCGCGCTTCCACCCGCGAAGAAGGAGCGGTTGCAGCCGCGCAGGTCTCGTCCAGAGCGCGATCTCGCTGCTCTTCAGCGCGATCTGCGGCTCCCGCGGCGTGCTCCGCGGGGTCTCTCAGGGCTGGTACCAGGGGCGTGGGGGCGGGGCTGAGCGAGTCCAGCCCAGGGCTCCGGGGACCGTTTGTAGTTAGGATCCGCTGTGGCGTCCTGAGTGGAGTTTGGGACCCCAGGGAGGGAGGGTGTGGGCGTTCGGGTCCAGAGGAGCTGTTTAGGTGCGTGTGGAAGGGAGCTGCATGTGGCGGTTTTTCTCTGGGCCGGCGGCTCTGAGGGGGAGCGTGTGCGTGGGTGGGAGGGGGCTGGCTGGCCCTGCCCCTCAGAGCGACCGGAGTCGCCTTATCCCCTGGGTTGGTGCGGCCCGAGGCTGAGGGCGCGGCGGGGGATGGGGGGGATGCGGTGTTGCAGCCTCGGGCGAGGGGAAGCCAGGACAGGAGGCTGTGAGGGTGGGAGTCGGCCGGCGAACTCCCACTGCGGGAGGCGCACGGGCTGTGGTTCCTGGGCTCTGAGGGGCACGGTAGACAGGAACCCCGCCTCAGGCGTATGCCGTAATGCGAATTGGCTGTTCTGTGAAAACCTCCAATTTTTTTATTCTTCGTGGTAAATTCGTAAATGCGAAATCGCACTGTTTCTCTAGGTTTACCCGGGTGTTGGGGAAGGGCTTTCGTTAGAATTTTGCTACACGTGGTTGTACACACGCCACCAAGGGACATATTCAGAGCGTTTACTTTAAAGGGCATATCCTGTGGAGAAATCTGGGTGTCCGTGAACCCTGGAAGATCCGGATGCTTGTTGCAATCCCACGCATAAGCGGTTATGCGGGTGCTTCCCACCCCATCCCCAAAACTTCAAGTCGTGCCCCGACTCAACAACGATTTCTGAAGCGCTCGTTGGGCTTGGCCCGGGAAGGGGCTGGGAATGTCGCCATGGGCTCAAGGGGGCCTCTCGTCTTCCAGTTCTGGCTCTGCCCACATGTTCCTGTGAAGAATGCTATATTGAAAAGGTCGTTACGAAATATATCCTGTTTTGCATACGACTTCAGAAAATCTTATAATTTTTTTTTTCATTTAACATAGTATCCAAGATGAATGACAGCCTGTTTGTCAGTTTGGACAGACTTTTGCTAGAATTTGGTAGGTATAAAGTGAAAAAATAGGTAGCTTTTTGTATGATCATTTGATATTTTAACAATGAATTGAAGTCACAAGATAATTATTTATTTTAGTCTTCCAGTATGAGCAAGACATAAGTACTAAAGAAGAGATGATTCAAAGAATTAATAGTAAGTAGCTTTGCATGATCAAGATATTTTAGTCTTTTAATTCCTTATGGCATATAACATACAATTGCTCTGTTTAGGGCAACTTATTGTTGGCGTTATAACTTTTGTGTCAGTTCTCTCTAGCGACAAATAAACTATTTACCCTAGACGAAATAGATGTGACTTAACTATAGTTGTTTGATAATAAACTTCTATATTCAGCATTTAATTATTTTATGAAGAATTTTGTCTTAAGTAGAAATGACCCCTTAGGTGCAGTGGAAAAGATGTTATTTTTCTCTAATAACAAGTTATTTCAAATAGTTGAGTGAAATTTTTTTTATCTTTATAGAAACCACCAGAAATCAGGGATCAAAATCGATAGATGCCACATTTTCAGGAATAATAATTCTGAAAAATAATGTTATCAGAGAAATAGCAAGGCAAATCACACAAATACTGTATAGTATTTTAAGATCCAACAAAACAACTATAAAAAATAGAGTTCTAAATTTCTTCATCGTTCTGAAAAGGTAGAGTTTGGTTATATTTTCTGCAATCAAAAAAGAATACAGAATATTAAGAATTTATTTTAATCTTTTTAAGAAATTATGTCCATTTTATCTTCTATTTAATCACTAGTAACAGAAATAAGTGAGTTGAAAGTGCGTTTAATAATTGACATAGAATTGATGAATAGAAATTTCACATTTGTCAAAAACAGAAGGCTTCTATTAGTGTCATTAACGAATAAATGTTTGCAAGAATTCATAGCATCTTAAGATACGATTGACCTTAGATATCACTGAATCTAGCCCTTTTATGTTAAAGATGAGGTACAAGGGACATTTATTTTTTCATCATTCCCAAACTGAAAATCTTCTTAGCTTCTGGCTCTAGGATCAGGCCTGGCCCTGGTTCTCTGCATTTTAGTATACGGTCCCACCCATCTCAAGCCTCGTTTCCTCTCCATTCTCTGGCTCTCTTCCTTTTAGGTAAGCTGCCATACCCATTTTTTTTCTCTATTTGTTTATTTTGAACTTATTATTTCTACATTAAGAAAATAAACATTTTCTCTTTGTAGAATGCTGTGAAGATATTAAGGAAAACAAAGTAACTATTTGTAGGATACACGAAACTATAAATGCAACAGATGAGGAAATTGATCATTACTGTAAACATAGTGAGGAGATTAAAGACAACTGTAGAAAGTGAGTATTTGAAAGAATCAATTTTCATTGCATTCTTTTATTTAGGGTTTTTGAGTTTACAGTTGAAGATACTTCCTTCAAAGTAGTATTCTGTATTAGCTAATGAATCAAGTCTTAATGTGCCTTGTTATGCCACTATGTAAAGGGATTATAGGAGGATCAGAAGAGAAATAGAACTAAACAGCTATAAGAGCTCACTAATTCAGATCCACTTAATCTAACTATAAACTTTTGAATAAGCTCAGTATATAAAATTCCTATTAAATATATTTGAAACAATTTCCATTTTTGAATTTTCAAGATCTTATTTTTGTGTGAGGGAATACGGCCTGAAGTTTTTCAAAATAAAAATATTTAATACGTTAAGAATTCTTTCAACATGGCTTCAGGTTCTGGATTCTACTAGTTAACTCTAGACATTTTGAAACAAATACATAAAAACAACAAAGACTTATTACAAATATAAATTTTCTGTACTTAGTTTTATATGGACATTGTAGTAAGTACTGTATTTTAGGATCATATTTGTTTTGAAATATTTTGTTATTCAAAATTTTAATAAGCCTTTTTTGTTTTTCCCCCATTAGTTTTTTCCCACTGGTTTTAAGAAATTATAAAAGTAACATATACCAAATACAAATGTTCAAGCAATATACACATATATGGTGCAAATAGTTTTTCCCTGCTTGCAGTTCCCGTCCCCTACCCTGTCATCCTCTGCATAGGTAATGACTCACATCCTTTTAGATCTTGAAGAGTCAACATCATTATTATGCACACCACACACACACACACACACACACACACACACCTGTCTATATAGCTGTATTTCCTTTTTACAAAAATGGACTCACTTCATTCTGCAACTTGCTTTTTAACATTTAACAATACCTAATGTAAATGGTACTGTGCATGTAATTTTATATATATTTCATTCTTTTTAACAGCTCCGTGGTATTTCTGGTATTGATGTAGCCTGTTATTTAGCCATTCCCCTATTAATGGAAATTTAGGTTATTTCCAGTCATGTACAGATATACTTCCACATATAGAGATCTATTGCTATAGAATGGGCTCCTAGAAGTGAAATTGCTAAAGAGTATGCACATTTAAACATTGGGTCGATAATACCAAACTGCTCTCCAAAAAGTTTATACCAATTTGTGCTCCCACCAACAATGTATGGGAACAAAATTTTATGCAGTAACACATTGATTGACTTATTATAAAGACTATTACTTTTATAAATAGAAAATGAATTATTAAAAAACAGTGTAGGAGAGTTCCTATTTCCTCATACTCTTGCCAACACTGGAATTGTCAGTGTTTAAATATTTTGGTAATCTGATCAGCCAAAACTTACATGTTGTTGACCATTTTCTTTTATTTTGACTTGGGTTTTATTGTAGTAGATTTTACCAGTGGTTTTCCTCAATTAGCTGCATTGGGTTGTGGAAAAGTACTAATAGTTTCCCCGTAGAACCTACCGTGTCCTAGATACACTGTACTTTGTAAAAGCTTAATTTCTGCTAGGTCTGAGGAGAGTCAGTAGGATCTGTTGATTTTAATATGTCTAAATTCATGAATACCTCTAGTTTATGGTTTCAGCATACTGGTTATGAGATTTAAATGTGAAATAAGAATCTATGAAAGTACTAGAAAAATGTAAGTGCTATATAATCTTTGAGAGAGGAAGGTCTTTCTAAATATGTCACCAAAATCAGAAACCACATAGGAAATGATGGATAAATATGACTGCACACAAATTAAAAAGAAAAATACCCTATAATGATATAAAAGACAAAAGGATAAGCTAGGAAAAGTGTCAAATAAGGATTGTTTAAAAACATAAAGTACTTGTAGAAATTAATAAGAAAAAGCAAAAGTCCTATTAGAAAAATGAGCAAAGAAGGTAAACGGGTAAATACCAAAATGAAAAAAATACACAAGTCTAATACATGTGCAGAAATGCTCAATCTTGCTAATAGTCAGAAATATCTAAATTAAAGCAATAATTAAATGCTATTATTTTTGCCTCTGAGTTTTGCTGAGATTTAAAAAAATAACACCTAGCACTGGCAAGAAATAAGAATATCAACTCGCATACACTGTAGGAGTGTACAGTAGTATAAATCTTTTAGATGACATGCCAGTATATATTTTAAAAGCTTTAAAAATAAGCATGATTTAAAAAAAAATAGAGATGGAGTCTCACTATGTTGCTCAGGCTGGTCTCGAACTCCTGGACTCAAGTGATCCTCCCACTTCGGCCTCCCAAAGTGCTGGGATTATACATGTGAGCCACTGCGCCTGGCCCAAGCATAAATTTTGATTAAGTGATTCCATTTCTGAGAATTTTTCATAAGGAAATAGAGATCCTCTCAAAGATGTAATGTACAACCAAATGTTTATGTCAGTCTTTTTTTTCCATACACAGAACATTTTTACAATTTATTTTTAATTGAAAAATAATTATGTATGTTTAGATCAAAATGTGATATTTTGATCTATGTGTACATTGTTGAAAGAAGCTAATTAAGATATTCATCACCTTACCAACTTATTTTTTTGTGATGAGAATATTAAAAAGCTCATTTTTCTAGCATATTCGAAATATATATTATTTAACTGTAGTCACTATACGGTGCAGTAGATCACTAATTTTTTTTCCTCCACTCCAACTTAAACTTTGTGTTCTTTGATCAACATCTTCCCTTTCCCCATTTTTTCTTTACCTCAACCCCACCTCTGGTAACCACCTTTCTACTCTCTGTTTATATGAGATTGACTTTTTTAGATACTACATATAACTGAGATCATACAGTATTTGCCATTACCTGCCTGGCTTATTTCACTTAGCATAACATCCTTTAGTTCCATTTATGTTGTCTTGAATGACAGAATTTCCTACTTTTTTTCAGGCTGTATAGTATTTCATAGTGTATCTATGCCACACTTTCATTATCCATCATCTCTTGTGGAACACTTAGGTTGCTTCCATACCTTGATATTATGAATAATGCTAAAATGAACATGGGAGGGCAGATATCTCTTCGATGTACTGATTTCGTTTCCTTTGGACGAATACTCAAAAGTGGGATGGCTGGATCATATGGTAATTCTATTTTTAGTTTTTTGAGGACCTGCCATACTATTTTCTGAAGTAGCTGTACTAGTTTACACTTCCACCAACAGTGTCCAAGAGTTTCCTTTTCTCCACATCCTCCCCAACACTTGTTGTTATTCACCTTTTTTATTTTTTGAGATGGAGTTTCACTCTTGTCACCCAGGCTGGAGTGCAATGGCGCGATCTCACTCACTGCGACCTCCTCCCTCCACCTCCTGGGTTCAAGTGATTCTCCTGTCTCAGCCTTCCGAGTAGCTGGGATTACAGGCATGCACCACCATGCCCAGCTAATTTTTGTATTTTTAATAGAGACAGGGTTTCACCATATTGGCCAGGCTGGTCTTGAACTCCTGACCTCAGGTGATATGCCTGCCTTACCCTTCCAAAGTAATGGGATTACAGGTGTGGGCCACCGCACCCAGCCTTATTCATCTTTTTGATAACAGCCATTCTAACAGGAGTGAGGTAATATCTTATTTTGGTTTTAATTTGAATTCCCCTGATGATTAGAGGCATTGAGCATTTTTTCATATATCTGTTGGCCATTTGTATCTCTTCTTTGAGAAATGTCTATTCAGATCCTTTGCCCATTGAAAATGTCAGGTTATTTATTTTTTCTATTAAGTTGAGTTCCATTTCAGCCTTTTTATAATGATAGGAAATATTGGGAGCAACTCTAATGTTCAGCATTAGGGAACTGGTTAAATGAGTTTTGGTATATCCATATGAATGAACATTAGGCAGCCAGTGAAATTGTGATATAGGTGTATATTTATGGATATGGGAAGATGTTAACAGTAAAGGAAGGTTTTTAAAAAGCAAGGTCTGCAACTTGCTTTTTAAAGTTACAAATTGGTCAAAGCAGATTAAAAAACAATATTCATAATATTAAGCTAATTTAGTAATTGTATATTTATATATAATTACAAAAAGTCTAGAAGGATGTACATCAAAAGGCTTATAGTGAATGCCTTCTCAATGAACATGTATGTTTTATGGAATTTTAAAATAATTCCAATTTTTATTTTAGATTCAGGGGCACTTGTGCAAGTTTATGAGATAGTTATATTGTGTAATGCAGAGGTTTGGGGTACAACTGATCCCATCACCCAGGTAGCGAGAGCATAGTACTCAATAGTTTTTCACCTCTTCCCCCTCTACTAGTTTCCAGTGTCTACTGTTGCTATCTTTATGACCATGAGTATTTATGACATTTAAAAATATTGAGAATATATGTATGTATAATTTTTGATCTTCTAATTTCATTTTGGAGAATATTTTCTAAGGAAATGATCAGAAATTCAGATATATTTAAGTACAAGTTCTGTTACTAAGTGATAAAGGAGGATAAGCTCTCAATGATGTTAAAATGTATAATTATAGTAACATCTGGAAACAATTTATTAAAACAATAATAGTCATTATTCAATATTGAGAATATGATTAATAGTTATTTTCTTACACATACTTTTCTGTGCTTCCAAATTGGGCATGTATACTTTTTGAATCTGAAAAAAAAGTTAGAAAAAAGGCAATATTTGAAAAATACTTACACTGGAAGCCGCCATGGTATATATTAATTTTATATTTTTTTGTATTGGTAATATTCTTTCAAGTTACATAATAAAAAATGTATAAGATGAATATTTGTTATATTCCTATTGTCTGATTTTGTAATTCATTTGCTCTGGTTTCTCTTTTTTTTGTAATTCAGGATGATGTGACACCTGTTTTCTAAGTGTTAAAGGAGCAAAAAAACCTCTCTTTAGCCCTTATTCTAGTTCTTTGAATGCTTACTCCAAAAGAATTTTTTTGACCAAAATCTTAGAAATGTAATGAGAAAGAAAGGCTGATATTGGAGTGTTACAGAGTGTATAATAGAAATGCAATAGCAATACACAATCCAGCCATGTCACATTTGCTCCTTCCCTAGTAATGGTTCAAAAACAAGTTTAATATAAAAATTCATGAATATTGATATTCGAGCATAATAGTCCTTGAATGGAGGTAGTGGGAGTGATATGAGATGGAAATACTTTTCTTGATGTAAGCTTGTTTTCTCCAGGAAGAGAAAGATTCGTTTCTCTTTAAATAATTATGTTCTTTTTTTTATTATCTCTATCAATTTGTTTATCATTCTGAGTTGCTAATTACAAATATATTTTTTTCTATAGCTGGAAGCCAACATGTGATGTTTTTCGTAAACATGAAGATTATATGCAGGACCAATTTACTGTTTATCAAGGAACTGTTGAAAAAGACAAGTATAGTACTTATATGAAGTTTATCAATTCTATAAGTTTGTATTATTAGGACATGGTGTGTAAGAATGTCAGTTGAAAAATGTAGACATTTTGTACTCAAGGAGTTTCTTTTTTTTTTTTTGAGATGGAGTCTCGCTCTGTCCCCCAGGCTGGAGTGCAGTGGCATGATCTTGGCTCACTGCAAGCTCTGCCTCCCGGGTTCACGCCATTCTTTTGCCTCAGCCTCCCAAGTAGCTGGGACTACAGGCGCCCGCCACCGCACCCGGCTAATTTTGTGTATTTTTAGTAGAGACGGGGTTTCACCATGTTAGCCAGGATGGTCTCGATCTCCTGACCTCGTGATCTGCCCGCCTCGGCCTTCCAAAGTGCTGGGATTACAGGCATGACCCACCATGCCCAGCCAGGAGTTTTTGTTTTTAAGTAAATGTAGTGTTTTGGACTCCTTGGGTGCAGTGGAACATCTACCTACTTGTTGTAAAGCTCTCTCTAATCCTAGATATATTTAGATATGGCCTTAGATATAAACTGTTTCTCAGTGGCAATTATTATAGCAGAGTCCATCAATTAATGGTCTTTATGAGTGAACTGTTTAGGCAAACATCTCGGGGAATAGTTACCTGTAGAATTAGCTTATAACAAATTTGGGATATTGATTTCTGAATGGTATTTTATATCAAACTTCTGTTTTTTAGACAGCTGATTTAATGGAGTGGTTATATTCTAATAGAGAAACACCAATAATTGTATGAATTTATTTTATTATATGTATAATCACATTGTCTTGGGGATTAAATATAATTAGTGAATGTAATGAAACAAGACAAGAGACTTTGAACACATTATATAGCATAAAAATTTCACCTAATATAAGACATTGAAATGTTTTTATTTTTAATATAATTGGATGAGAACAGTATCTATTTTTATATTGTAACTAAAACGTGCAAAATCTAGAATGCAATACTCTATATATTCAAAGACAAGTCTTAAGAAAAGGTAGGGACTAAAGTTATAGATATAGACTTCATTTTGAAATCATGGAAATACATGAGATTGCCCATGGAAATGTATGGAGCAAAAAGAGGAGAAAGCTGGAGTACGCCATCATCTAGAGGGTAGGCAGAGGGTGGGATCAGTGAAGGAGACTTGTCTTGTCATTTATACATCCTGCTTCATTTAAAAAAGAATTTTAGATGATTTGACTAAATAATCATCTTGAAAGGATAGTGTTTAAAGAAACTAGATTAAAAATCAAGGCTGCAGGGAAGTAAGGAAAATATAGGAAGTTGAAGCCTTTGATGAAGTTAGAAATTCATACTATGTATCCCGCACATTTGTTAGATATAGGCACGAATTAAGCTTTCAAATTCCTAGTAGTCAAGGCATTGTGGAAATATAATCAGTGTGGGATTCATAATATTCATTTAAAAAAACAGGTCAATTGCTTAGGATAAGTAGAGGCTTTTCCTGAGGTTTGAGAGAAATTTCTCCTCTGGGTCCTCTAAAGGGGAAATTGTGCAGTGTGCTTCAGTGACCTCCCCCAGCCCCAAACACAGTATATATAACTGCTTCTTATAGCATCTGTCAATGTAAGTCATGACTATAAAACATTAATTCTTAAAAATGATTCTGTGAGAGGCTAAAGCAAACCAGTTAAAATATGTACTTCTCTAACAGTGTTTGTTATAGAGGACTTCTGTGAGCTAACTGAAGGTATTAAAGTGAAAACAGTTGTCTGTTTCTTTCTTAAACCAGCTACATAGCTTAATTGAATTGATGCTTCAATACCAGGCATTTATAAATGGAAAATAACTCATTTGTTGGTTTCATGGATAATGGAGGAAGTAGAGGCACCAATTACTTGTTTCTCCTAATCTCCCATCCCTGTTCAAGTCATTCATGAAAAACAGTATTGCTGGCTTAGATGAGATAATAATGGCTCTTGTTTAACTATGACTTAGCTATGCTAGGCTCTGCCAGAGTTTCTATATGGAGTATGTTAGAAGAGTGAGCATGAATATACAGTATGAATAGGGTGGATGTGGCATAGTCATCTCACCTGGAACTGGTGACCCAGGCTTAATTTTCTTATAGGTATTTCTTCCCTGGACCATTTTTCCCAAGCGATTAAATAGTAAGTGGGTCTTAATTAGCAAATATGCGTTTAGAGGAATAGGAGCTTGTTTGGGGCTCAACTGCTTTTCCTTGCTAAAGGGGACAGTTTAGTAATATTCAGAAATTAAAACTTTCTTAAGATTCAGACCCGCTGACTAGCACAGGGCTGTTATCCTTACTTTTCTTCTCATGTGTGCAGTTTTTGAAACTTGCTCTTTTCTAATCTGCTAAGGTGAGATAATCCTCAGGGTATCTTTTAAGAAACTCCCCCATAGAGTATACCTTGATCCAAGAAATGAGAAAATCTTGAGGAATGTAAGGACTATATATTTTCAAAAATTTTTCTACGAATTTTTTTGAAACTAAGTATTTGATAAGAATTGGGGAAAAAGAAGATTTAAGAATATATTTTCTATAAAGAACTGGATTTAACATTTTCAATGTTTTCGATTAGAGTTGGCAAGCTTTTTTGGTAAAGGACCAGATAGTAAGTATTAATATTTTAACCTTTGTGGGCCAACATCTGCCATGACTACTCCACTCTCCTATTATGGCACGAGAGAATTTCAGATAATATGTAAATAAATGAGCTATGCTCTAATAAAACTTTATTTATGGATACTGAAGTTTAAATTTCATATAATTTTAATGTGTTATGGAATATTCTTTTGATTTTTTCAATAATTTAAACATGTAAAAATCATTCATAGTTCATGGGCTGTACAAAAATAGGTGGCAGATTAGATTTGGCCCATAGACCATCATAATTTTGATTCTTGTAGAATCGAGCACAGGTCAAATAAGAAAAAAAGGTTATTTGAACGGTTTTTTGTGTAGGAGCCGGTTTTTTGAAAAGATAAAATTGATAGACCGCCAGCAAGACTAATGAAGAAAAGACAGAAGAATCAAATAGATGCAATAAAAGATGATAAAGGGGATATCACCACCGATCCCACAGAAATACAAACTACCATCAGAGCATACTATAAACACCTCTATGCAAATAAACTAGAAAATCTAGAAGAAATGGATAAATTCCTCGACACATACACTCTCCCAAGACTAAACCAGGAAGAAGTTGAATCTCTGAATAGACCAATAACAGGCTCTGAAATTGAGGAAATAATTAATAGTTTACCAACCAAAAAAGTCCAGGACCAGATGGATTCACAGCTGAATTCTACCAGAGGTACAAGGAGGAGCTGGTACCATTCCTTCTGAAACTCTTCCAATCAATAGAAAAAGAGGGAATCCTCCCTAACTCATTTTATGAGGCCAGCATCATCCTGATACCAAAGCCTGGTGAAGACACAACAAAAAAAGAGAATTTTAGACCAAAATCCCTGATGAACATCCCTGCAAAAATCCTCAATAAAATACTGGCAAACCGAATCCAGCAGCACATCAAAAAGCTTATCCACCATGATCAAGTGGGCTTCATCCCTGGGATGCAAGGCTGGTTCAACATATGCAAATCAATAAATGTAATCCAGCATCTAAACAGAACCAACAACAAAAACCACATGATTATCTCAATAGGTGCAGAAAAGGCCTTTGATAAAATTCAACAACGCTTCATGCTAAAAACTATCAATAAATTAGGTATCGATGGGACGTATCTCAAAATAATAAGAGCTATTTATGACAAACCCACAGCCAATATAATACTGAATGGGCAAAAACTGGAAGCATTCCCTTTGAAAACTGGCACAAGACAGGGATACCCTCTCTCACCACTCCTATTCAACATAGTGTTGGAAGTTCTGGCCAGGGCAATCAGGCAGGAGAAAGAAATAAATGGTATTCAATTAGGAAAAGAGGAAGTCAAATTGTCCCTGTTTGCAGATGACATGATTGTATATCTAGAAAACACCATTGTCTCAGCCCAAACTCTCCTTAAGCTGGTAGACAACTTCAGCAAAGTCTCAGGATACAAAATCAATGTGCAAAAATCACAAGCATTCTTATACACCAATAACAGACAAACAGCCAAATCACGAGTGAACTCCCATTCACAATTGCTTCAAAGAGAATAAAATACCTAGGAATCCAACTTAGAAGGGATATGAAGGACTTCTTCAAGGAGAACTACAAACCACTGCTCAATGAAATAAAAGAGGACACAAACAAATGGAAGAACATTCCATGCTCATGGGTAGGAAGAATCAATATCGTGAAAATGGCCATACTGCCCAAGGTAATTTATAGATTCAATGCCATCCCCATCAAGCTACCAATGACTTTCATCACAGAGTTGGAAAAAACTACTTTTAAAGTTCATATGGAACCACAAAAGAGCCTGCATTGCCTAGTCAATCCTAAGCCAAAAGAACAAAGCTGGAGGCATCACACTACCTGACTTCAAACTATACTACAAGGCTACAGCAACCAAAACAACATGGTACTGGTACCAAAAGAGAGATACAGACCAATGGAACAGAACAGAGCCCTGAGAAATAATGCCGCATATCTACAACTATCTGATCTTTGACAACCCTGACAAAAACAAGAAATGGGGAAAGGATTCCCTATTTAATAAATGGTGCTGGGAAAACTGGCTAGCCATATGTAGAAAGCTGAAACTGGATCCCTTCCTTACGCCTTATACAAAAATTAATTCAAGATGGATTAAAGACTTACATGTTAGACCTAAAACCATGAAACCCTAGGAGAAAACCTAGGCAATACCATTCAGGTCATAGGCTGGGCAAGGACTTCATGTCTAAAACACCAAAAGCAATGGCAACAAAAGCCAAAATTGACAATTGGGATCTAATTAAAGTAAAGAGCTTCTGCACAGCAAAAGAAACTACCATCAGAGTGAACAGGCAACCTACAGAATGGGAGAAAATTTTTGCAATCTACTCATCTGAGAAAGGGCTGATATCCAGAATCTATAATGAACTTAAACAAATTTATAAGAAAAAACAAAGAACGCCATCAAAAAGTGGGTGAAGGATATGAACAGACACTTCTCAAAAGAAGACATTTATGCAGCCAAAAGACACATGAAAAAATGCTCATCATCACTGGCCATCGGAGAAATGAAAATCAAAATTACAATGAGATACCATCTCACACCAGTTAGAATGGCGATCATTAAAAAGTCAGGAAACAACAGGTGCTGGAGAGGATGTGGGGAAATAGGAACACTTTTACACTGTTGGTGGGACTGTAAACTAGTTCAACCATTGTGGAAGTCAGTGTGGCAATTCCTCAGGGATCTAGAACTAGAATTACCGTTTGACCCAGCCATCCCATTACTGGGTATATACCCAAAGGATTATAAATCATGCTGCTATAAAGACACATGCACACGTATGTTTATTGCGGCACTATTCACAATAGCAAAGACTTGGAACCAAGCCAAATGTCCAACAATGGTAGACTGGATTAAGAAAATGTGGCACATATACATCATGGAATACTATGCAGCCATAAAAAATGATGAGTTCATGTCCTTTGTAGGGACAAGGATGAAGCTGGAAACCATCATTCTCAGCAAACTATTATTGCAAGGACAAAAAAGCAAACACTGCATATTCTCACTCGTAGGTGGGAATTGAACAATGAGAACACATGGACACAGGAAGGGGAACATCACACCCCGGGGCCTGTTGTGGGGAGGGGGTAGGAGGGAGAGATAGCATTAGGAGATATATCTAATGCTAAATGACGAGTTAATGGGTGCAGCACACCAACATGGCACATGTATACATATGTAACAAACCTGCACGTTGTGCACATATACCCTAAAACTTAAAAGTATAATAAAAAAGAAAAAAAGGTTAATGTCCTTTTTCAAGAATTAACTGTCTCACTCAAGATTTGTGCCTAAATAGATGACCATCCACTACTATTGGAGCTGGAGTAGAGTTCTTCTAAACTGTGATAAAATTTTCTTCATAAAATAGTTACGGGGTACATTTGATGGTGAACACAAGAGTTCTAATACATAGAACATGACTTCATGTGATAATTTTAGCTAATGAAAATTGAAGATTAAAAAGATATGGTTTTAGAAGTAGCTGAGCTTGGGAGAGTAGAGACTCAGAAGCCAGGGAAGATAGAGGTTCCACAAGGAGTAAGTGATCAGAAGAACCAGGTTCTGCAGTGTCAATTAGGATGAGTGCTAAAAAGAGATCATTCAGTTGGACAAATTTGATCATTGGTGACCTTGGGAAGAATAGCGTCATTAAAATAGTGGGAGTAGGAGTTAAAATGAATAGAATTAAGAAGTGAATCACTCAGGTAATGAAGAAAAAGAGTCAAGTTGAGAAGTGTGGTGGAGTTAAGGAAAGTCTAAAGGGCAGACAATATTGAGGGAAGCAAGAATAAGAAGACATTTGATTTGCCTTTTATGTTTAGTAGACTTTAACAGTGTATTCACAAAGTTTTTAGATCTGTTGTTGTTATATAAACATCATTTCTTTTAATTTTAACAGAGAAATGTATCATGATTATATATGTCAGTATAAAGAAGTTTTGAAGCAGTACCAACTAAAATACTCAGAAACACCCTTTTCACGTGAATATTATGAGAAGAAAAGAGAACATGAAGAAATTCAAAGCAGAGTGTTGGCATGTACTGAACAATTAAAAATGAATGAAACAATTTTTATGAAATTTCGAGGTATTAATATTTTTGTTATATTGTTTTAATTATGATATCTTTGTAATGAAAAGAATATAATAATCAGCTTATGCTGTGACTTTATTTTTCAGTGCCTGCTCCCTTTCCATCACTTACTAAATGGACTTTAAACATGTATCCACAATAGTATTTGTACTTATAATTTTTATTAGATAAGCATTATTTTGTATTTTAATTGTTACTGTGTTTCCTTTGTGAGAATAACATGGATTTGTTTTGTGTTTAATTAAAATATTTAAAAAGTAATTTTAAAGGTCATCTTGGATTCATTTTCATGTATATTCATGTGATCAGAAGCAAGCAACTTTGGTGAGAATAAAATGGCATATGTATTTGGGTTTAAGTGGCGTGTCTTAGGAACCAAACCAATGAAAATGTTATATTGGTCTGTCTTACCAAAGAAAATTCCAGTTAAATTGCTTATTACTTGTTAGAATGGAAGGTGCAAAGGAGGTGAGTTACATTTATTCATTCATCACTGGAAACCTACCTTATGCCAGGCAATACTGAAGACGATACAGAGCTCTCTTCCAAGGAGCTCTGGGTTTAGTAGGGAAGACTGACATGTAAATAAATAATTCTAATACAGTACCACTGTAATAGATGCCTAAGTAATTCTTAATTGGTCTAAGTCTCACCTGTTTGTCAGAGAGATCTTCCCTGATGATGAACTTGAAACTTTAATCCTCTTTCAACCTCCACAATCCTTCATATGCTTTCCTATCAGATTATAACTCCACTGTTTGTACTAAGTCTTCTTTATCCCCACATCCTACCTTGCTTTCTGTCTGCTTCATTCTAAACCATCCTTTTAACTCTTCTGCTGCTAGCTTTTTCCATGTTTTGGTTTTAGTCTCTTCTGTTTTTTGTTGTTCATTTGCTGCCCATTTGCGCTTTAACTTCTCAGTGGGAAGGGGCCAAAGTTAGTAGACGCTGGTATAGCAAGGGTTTAGGGAGTTGGATGTGGAATGGGATGACATATAAGGTTGCATGACAAACAGGAAGAGGTGAATGGAGGTAGGAAGATTTGAAGATTAGGATTTAATTATCTGTACCTAACATTTTAATGGAAACTTGATAATAATAGACTTATAAATCATGATTCACTTGAAATTTTATATTCTAGCATATAAATCATGCATATTTTAAGGCAGAATAGGAAAGCCCTGATTAATCTTCTCTGGAATTCTTGTTAACTGTCACTATTCTATCATTTTCAAATTCTCCTAAATGGATTATAATTTAGGACATTGTATTAGCTAATAACCACGTGGAATGTATTAATAGCTGAGGATTTTTTACTTGAAATTGGGCACAAATCCAGTTCAAGTAGAAAGTCCAAGTCGAAGATCTGCCTGTCTTTTGAGTTCTGTAGGGTACACTGATGAGCCTTACAGAGCAAGAAAAGGGAAATTTGGTCGATTTTGTTTTTCTCCAGCATACTGTTGTTGGCTTGAAATGGGTATACTTTAAATATTGTCTTTGAACAAATAAATAATGGAAGCATAAGAAGTTAAATTTGGGCCTGAATTATGTTTTATTAGTTATGCCAAGTGACACAATGAACTTTGATTTAAAAAGCAAAAAAAAAAAAAAAAAAACTACCCTGTGAAAATACTTAACTGAAATAATCCTAACAAATATTTTGTATGAAATGTTTTTTTAAGCTCAGTATATAACATAAACAATAAATTATCTGTTAGTCTGCCAAATGTTTATATTATTCTCCTGTTTTCAGATACTGTTTTTAATATTGCTTACTGTTTATATGAAACATACATATAAATGATGTCACATAATATTAATCATTTCTGATATGGCACATATATTATAAATATAAAATTTACTTATATGACATAGTTCCTTAACATAAAAAGTGTTAATTTGAGATGTGAAACACAAGATATTCTTAAACATGCCAGCAATCTTACCAAAAGTTCATCCGAATTGAAGAAAGAAGTAGATGAAATGGAAATAGAAATTAATTATTTAAACCAGGTATATATTTTGTTATATATTTCTAATATGTGTATTAATGTATAAGTATAATGGTATGTTAGTTGACAGTTTTAGAAGAGCTATTTTTAAGAGAGCCTAATGTGGAGAAAGGTTTAAGATAATTTAGATTACCTTTGGAGCCAAAAGGTATTTTAGGTACTGAATATATTAATTTATATTTTTTATTAATTTTATTAATATATTTTATATTAATTTGTATATAATTTAATATATATATTTAGGTACTGAATATATTTTGGGGAATAGTTTAGCTTTCTTTGAGGTCTGAGGAGAGAACATGAGGAAGGAATAAGATGCAACATAGTAACAGGATTTTAAAGGCATTAAAAGATCTACGCCAGTGTTTTTTAAAAAGGTAGTAAATAAAGAATTTAAACTTGAAAAATATATGACTATAATCTTTAGCGAGCTAGGCTAGAACTAGTTTAGCCTTTAAACTTTTCTTGGAAACATTTGGATGTCATCCATGAAATTGTGGCTTTTATTTACATAGCTATGATAACCCATCAAAGTCGCTTCCAAATTCTGAGAAAAATTTGACTATGATACCTGATTTTCTAAATTTTTGAAAATTATGTTAAATACTGTATACTTATCTTTCATTAAGTATGAGGTACCAAATAACAGTAATATCATTTTAGTAAACAGAAGAAAGTAGATGCCATTTCCTTTAAAATATATGGTAACTGTCCTTAATGTAAGGAATCAATGTCTACTTTGCTTATAATTATCTGTTTTTAAAAAGATGGGAGTTTGTTAAAATCTACATTTGCCAATGGAATTGTAAGGAAAAGTTAAACGGGTGTGATTTATTGTTAATTTTGTTTTTGTTTTAATAACTGTAAATAGAAGATAGTAAATGCTATCAAAAATATGAATCTTATGATTATATAGAAAAAACATAAGATAAAGCATATCTTTTTTTACTGCTTTGCAAGTAATTATTTTGTTTTGTGTTCCCAATTGTCTTTTTAGCAGATATCTAGGCATAATGAAACTAAGGCTCTTTCAGAAACTCTGGAAGAAAAGAACAAAAATACAGAAAACAGAAAAGAACTGAAAGAAAGGTATAGGTAACCTTTAAAATTAAATTTTATGTGAACAGATATTTTGCATCTAAAAGTTTGATTCTATATTCCATCCCAAACCACTAATATTTACACAGTATCTGTAAATTTTGTTGTGCAGGCTATTTTCTATTAATTTCTTATGAAAAATATTATTAAATATTATGAGCTAATACTAAAATCTGCTTGTTATTTAGTAAGGCTGAGGATAATGTGTAAAGAGAAATAGAGTAGCAGCAGCACATCTGCTGTTCTAGAACCTGTCAGTTGTATAATTCATCCAGTGTTTTCCATGATGGGCCAGCAATAGGAGTAAAACAGAAACAATGGTGGGAATAGCAAGGTATTTACTTTTTTATCACCCTGTCCACCTTGACCAGTTCTTCCTTTGCTATAGAGTGAAGATGAGTCAAAGCATGCTACTAAATGTGTGGCATCATATTTCCTTGTCTTTTGTTTTAATGGCGATAAAATAGAGATCAGTGATAGAGGCCAAAAAAAAAAATAGATGGACTTTGCCTGTTATCATATGACAGAAAAATAGATGTATTACTATTGCTATTTCTGACCAGCTTTTACTTTTTCCCCCTACTTATATCCTTTTTCATTCTTCTGAAACTCCTTTCCTCAAGTTCCATGGCCCTTAATCTGATTTTTCAACACATTCTTCTGTCGGGTTAATTTCCCTGATCCTACTTTTTTTGGATGTGTTATTTTCTTGATTCCTCCACTCCCATGTACCACATTCAGTGCAAGTGTGTCTTTAATTTTATAATGAAGTTAATTGAAAAAATAGGTAAATAGACAGAATTTTACTTTATTGACCGCCTTTAAGAAAAATTCCATGTATTGACAGAAACATATAAATATTTAGTCATTTTTAACTCAATATATATTCTGACACTGTTTATTCTATTTCTTCAATTTAGATAAAATTTAGTGAAAACTATTCTTTCAGTAAAAAACTTAAAAGACCCATTTATGATTATAATACTGTTTTAACAATTTCTGTATTCATGTTGGTTGATTTATTTCTGAATATGTCTTTTTAAAGTTTAAAGTACCATGAAATCTGAAGCATGCTATTTGTAGTTACAAGTTTTGGCTTAAAATGTTTTTGACATGTGTAGGAAGTCTTTTGCAATGATTATATTTTAAAAATAAGAGTGGACTATATTGAGAAGAGCATTGAACTTAATCAGGGGAAGTGTGTTTTTGCTCTGACACCACTACTAAGTAATTCAGTCATTTTGGGCAAGTCTATTAAATTCTTTGGAACTCAGTTTTATTATCTGCAAAACGAGGGGTTTTATTATATAGTATCTAAATATGCCTCCTAGCTTTAAAATATGTTAATTTTAACTTATCTAATATTTAATGTAATTCACCTTTCTCTTTAGAATTTTTGGAAAAGATGAGCATGTACTTACATTGAATAAAACTCAAAGCAGTCAATTATTTCTTCCTTATGAATCTCAGAAATTAGTAAGACCAATAAAGATGCATTCTTCAGAACCAAGAGTTGCAGGTATAATATCTGTTTGTTATTCAAAAACATCATTTTTTTTGCAAACACACAGAAGAAATAGAAGGAAGCAATTTTATTTATCATTTGGTGTAAGTAAAAACAATACTGGAGACCTATAAACTCAAGAGAGTACTGCTTTGAATCTTTCTGAGAGCAAACAAAATATGTCTTCTATACGTAACTTTTTTCTCTTTGAGAAAGGAATTATTCACACAATAAATTTCAAAAAAAGTGTTCTGGCCTGGTTGCACAGCTGTTAGAGGAGGAGGAAAAATTACATATTTTTCATTTGAGGAGTTGATTATCAATATGTGTGACTTAGGCAGGTAAAAGACTTATGCTAATAGTATCTATAACTTAGTCACTGAGATATTTGAATCAAGTTTCATTCAGTGGCTCTGCAGATTAAATTAACTATTAGGTTGGTGCAAAAGTAATCATGGTTTTTGCCATTGCGTTTAATTAAAATTTAATGGCATTTACCATTACATAATGGTTTTGGCATTAAAAGTAATGGCAAAAATCATGATTACTTTTGCACCAACCTAATACATTATATTAGATTAACTACATTGGCTGGTTTCTTTGTCTTCTCAACCACTCTGTCTTCTTTGGTAACCCATTATAAAGGTACAGTTTTGTCAGTTGGCCTTTTGTCATTTCATCTTCATAGTTATTGTAAAGCTATTATATAGTAAGGAATTAAGAGTTTTAAAATAATTTCATAATTCCGTATTTTAATTTAAATTAAAAATTCATGTAGACTTGATTTTCTAAATTACAAGTTTAGGTTAAACATTGGGGAAGATACTTGATTCTGTTTCCAGCATTGATTTAAAGTAGTACTATTTAATAATCTAGATATAAAAGAAGAAAGTTCTGCGAAGCAGTCAAAGCTTGCCAATATTGACTTTAGACAAAAAGAAAATGATACACAGGTAGGTGTCTCACTTTTAGTAGTATAAATTAAATACCTGCTTGCATTAAATGTAATAATGAATGTACTGCCCTTAAGACACAGACGTGTGTGTGTGTGTGTGTGTGTGTGTGTGTGTGTGTGTGTGTTATAAATTTATTAAATCAGCCATTAGTGCAAACTCAAGGTCTAAAAAATTTAAAGGTGTTTCAATATGGCATTCTGATTATATACTGTAACCTGTCCCCTTATCCCTAAAAATAATAGAAAAAGATATTTTCAAATACCAAGCTCTGTACATAGTAGATCCAAAACTGTGAGAAATCCCTGAAGGAAAATAGCAGGATTGGATTGAAGAGGGAAATTATTGCCCAGGACATGCATAGGAGAATACCGTTCTACAAGATAAAGGTATACGGATGATGAGTAAGGTAATTGGTTGCGTTACCTCAGTGGTAGTTAGTTTACTTAACCCCCTGTTCATCTTATATCCACTGTATCTTTGGCCAGGCATCAGCAATGGAATGACTGTCTCCAGGTGGAAGCAGTGAATATGGAAGTTTAGGTGAGAGAGATAGGCAGGTCCCCTGGGTGGTTCTTGATGCCCATGAAGAACAAGGAGCATACCACCCAGAGAGCTAACTGCTGGTGGCACACTTTTTTATCTTTCCCCATTCTTCCTGAAAATAGTCCAGAGGGAAAGCCTCAATGAAAAATATAATTGTTCTTCCACTGGTAGTGGTGACCAAAGTAATTAGTGAAACTCAAGTGTAAATATGTATAACTTATAAAAATTTTTAAATCTGGTACTGAAATTCCAGATGATGTCAATATGTGATAAGGGTGGAAAGATAAATGAGAAAAATAAAAGTTTACCAGAGTTCTATTTTTTATTTAAGGATAGAGGTAGGGAGAAGATATGAACGCTGATGAACTCTATACATTGTTGGAAAAATGTAAATTTATGCATACATATTAAACATTTAAGGGTAACCACCAGAAGAGAAATGGAATGTGTTAGTTTTAAAACAGTAGAAGAAAAAAGATAAGGCAAAATTAATTAGACCAACAAAGACAGTAATGGGGGTAAAAATAAAACAGTTAGAAAGCATTGTAAATAGAAAACGAATAAGGTGCCAGAAATAGTTCTGAACAAATTAGTAACCACAAAAATGTGACTGGTTTAAACTCCCATTAAAAGACAGAACTACTTCTATGGGATATATAAACAAATACAGGTATATGCTATTAAAGCAGAAGAGCGGAAACAACTTGACATTGAGGCTGAAAAAAAGAAGAAAATATATCAGGCAAATGCAAACGAAAACAAGGCAGATGTAACAATGTTGTACGAAATAGAGTTCAGGGTGAAAAGCATTAATGGGGTAAATATATTTCATATTTTTAAAAAGAACAATTTACCAAGAAATTATAAAAACCACAATACACTAAATTATTTCAAGTTTCAAAATATGTAAAGCAGAGTTTGACAGACTTTCAAAGAAATGGTTGAATACACAGTTAAAACAAGAAGCTGAATATAGCTCTCTCCAAAAAGAGTACTGATTGTGAGTTTAGGAGTTGAGTTTGGCTACATGTGAAATAATACAAAACCAAACCAGTGAAATAATAGCATCTTAAACAAGATAAACGTTTGTTTTTCTCTTACTTGCCATAAAATTCTAAAGTAGGTCATTCAGATTCAGGACTGATAGCATCATCTCAACAATGCCATTATTTCTCAAGCTTCATCTATGTTTTCTTTTCCTGCTATTTTTCATGCTATGCTTTTACCTCTAGGTCACTTCATGGTCAGAAGGTAACCATGTAAATTTGCCTTCCAGGCAGGAAAGAAAAAGGGGAGAAGGGCTAGCTGAGTCAGCCCCATTTTTAAGGATTTTTCCTAGAAGCTCCGTAAACAATTTATGATATCATTTCATTGGCCAGAACTTGGTCATTTGGGTACCTCTATCTGCAGGAGAGGTTGAGAAACAGGGTTTTTTGTTTGTTTCTTTGTTTTTTAAAGTAGAACACAAGGAGAAATTAGATTTTGGATAGGATAGGCAAATGGCAGTTTCTGCCACAGAGGTAAATCAAATAGGGGAAAAATAAATAAGGATTTAGGGAATCTGAATAGCACAATTAGCAAACTTTGTGCCCAACATACACAGAATACAGTTAAGTTTTTATTTGCAATATTCACCAAAAATGACCCATTACTAGAATAAAAAGTATATCTCAACAAATTCTAAAAAGTGCTATTTTCACTTACCATGATTTAAAAAATACAAGTCAAACACAAAGATAGCCCTCTCCCAAAAAACTAGCAAGATAAAGAGGGGGATCTGTATGTCCATATGTCAAAATGTTCATTATTTTTCTTCTTTCATTGAGGTATAATTCATATACCATGAAAGTTACCACTTAAAAGTGTAGATTTAGTGGTTTTTAGTATATCATAAGGTTGTGTAACCATTATCACTCTAATTCCAGAATATTTCCATCACCCGAAACATTTGTAAATATTATCAAAACATAGTAATTATAACAGTGTGGTGAAGGAAAAAGACAAAGTGATCAATGGACTACATAAAAATAAAAAACATATATGATAAGAGACACTAACAAAGTTAAAAGACAATAACAGAATGAGCAAAAGATTGGTATCCACAATGTATACTATATAAAGAAGTACATAGTAACTCTTACAAATTAATAAAGAGATAATAAAAATGGACAAAAAATAAGAAGGCAGTTTATAGAAAAGGAAAGCCAAAGGATCACTAAACATAACAAGATGCCAGACCCCAGGAGTATGGGGAAATGCAAATTAAACCACTGAAGTGCCTGGTTTTACCTATCAGGTTAGCAGACTTAAAATATTTGCTTGGTAACATTTAGTGAGGTCAAGAATAGTGGAAGTGTAATTTGGTACAAGCACTTTGGAGGACTGATTCACAGTATAAATTTATTACAAATAAAAATGTATATACTTAGCAATTCTACTGCTTGACATCTACTCGAAAGAAATATTTGAAATATTTATACAGGTATTTGTACCAGGAGACATATAGAGACATGTATTCTCCTTGCAGGTGTGTCCAATCTTTTGGCTTACCTGGGCCACACTGGAAAAAGAAGAATTGTATTGGGCCACACATAAAATACACTAACACTAACGATAGCTGATGAGCTAATAAATAAATAAATAAAATAAGACCTTGAAAAAAATCTCATGTTTTAAGAAAGTTTACAAATTTGTGTTGGGCCGCAGTCAGAGCCGTTTTGGACTGCATGCAGCCTGCAGGCCGTGGGTTGAACAAGCTTGGTTTAAAGCATACATCAAAACAGTAGCATCACTTGTTCTTTAAAGGAGGTTGACACTTTTTCTTATAGTTGAAGAGCACAGTAAGATGACAGAATTAAGATCAATGTCTGTTATAACAAAAATAAATGAGATAAACTTTTCTGTTAAAACTATATTTTGATTTTGAGTCAAATAACAAAAAGCAGGGACTTTTTAAAATGAGTGATTCAAGGAGAACAAAAGGCTTGAAAGAAACGTTAATAAAATAATGGTTTAGATATTGATATTAAACAATTTGTTTTTGAGACAAAGTCTTGCCGTGTCACCTCCAGGTTGGAGTGTAGTGGCGCGATCATGGCTCACTGTAGCCTTGAAATCCTGGGCTCAATGGATCATCCCACCTCAACCCCACCCTCCCTTCCCCTCTCCCCTCAGTAGCTAGGACATCAGGCTACCAAACTCAGCTAATTTTTTAATTTTTTGTAGAGATGGGGTCTCACTATGTTGTACAGGCTGGTCTTGAACTCCTGGTGCTCAAGTGATCCTCCGGCCTCAGTCCCTGAAAGTATTGGGATTACAGGCATAAGTCACCACTCCCAGCTAGATGTTAATATTAAACAATTTAAAGTTAAAATGGAATAATAGCTCTTTTATGTGTATATAAAAAGGAAAGTTTCAGCTTTTTAATCTTTTAATCTGTTGTTTTGCTTTCCTGTGTTAAATTTGAGAGGTTATAGAGAATGGAGGGACACAGAAATCAGATAATCAGTTGAGAAAATGGTAACATTTAGTTGATGAGTCATGAATATGGGTGGTATAAATTTTAAAAGGTTTATCTTAAATACAGAAATACTACTACAAATCATTACTATACTTGTCAAAAACATTAATTTCTTAAACTTTTTTGTTTCTCAATATTCAACTTAATGTTTTGTATGTAGTGGTTTCAGTTAATGTGTGTAGTTGTTGATGTTGATAATGATGGTAATGATGGAAAGGATGAAATACTAATGAAATGAGAGTTCTGAGTTGCTAACGACAAGCAAAAAATTTTTATTGCTTTGTGTAGCCAAGTCAGATGCTTAATTTCTTTCTTTCAGATATTTAATGACTCTGCTGTGGATAACCATTCAAAATGTTCACATATTACGACTATCACAAGTTCACAAAAGTTTATGCAAGTCAGGTAACTTTTTAAAATAAGAAAATGCTTTAATCTCTGAAATAATTTATAGATATCAACTCAGAAAAAATACAAAAATTATATTTATTCCATTTTAGATTGTTAACCCCACAGAAACAATCAAATTCCAATCAGTGGTCGGAAAAAGGGGATAAAGGTATTTGCCGTTTATATTTTTCTTCTAAGAAGTCGGGGTAACAAATTATATCAGGTTTTTACATTAGTCAAATAAATTGTTTCGATTATTTGCATCTCTGGTTAACTGACCATGCACGCCTGGCTTTAAAATACATCTTCCCTAAATATAGAACAAATACATTTTATTGTAGAATATTTGGAAAACAAAGATATAAAGAAAACAAAAATATCACTACTCAGACATAACTGAACATCATAAATACTGGTGCATACCATTTTTTTCTATGCATTTTTATTCTTTTTCCCTCCAAGTTTGAATCATATACATAATTTTTTATTCTTTTTTCCCACTTGATATACTGTTGAGGTTATTTCTCTATGTCAGTAAATAGGTTTTATTTGTAATGACTGTATAATGTTCCATTGTGTGGATATGCCATAATTTACTTAGTCATTCTTTCATGTGGAATATTTTGGTTTTTTTTCAGTTCTTTTACTATTATAAATAATGCCTCTATATTCTTTTACATTAATCTTTTAATACCTTGGACTATTTTCTTTGAATAAAGTTACCGAAGGATCACAGGATATATATATGAATTTATCATCCCCAAGTCATCTAGCTTTTCTAACTTTGGCACACCCTTGAAAATATGAACTCATTCTCTCTATGTATATACACACACATGTGTATACATGTATGTATATGTATATTAACATAATCACATGTGAGTGAATGTATATATAATGTATACCACACAGATGGATATATATTTTTGGTAAACTAATAATGCATAACAATTGCTCTATTAAAGTATATAAAAGTCTACATCTCTTTTTGTCTGATAACTGACTTTTGTTTTGAAGTTTTAAAAATGCCTTATTCTGACAGCATGAAATAGATATATATTTAGAATGTTAATATACTATGAGTCTTTTTCTCTCACTCAGTATAGGATTCATCCAACACAATATGCTTATTCCACACAGATATTCCTTCTGGGAGAAAAAAATTATATATTACATGTGCAGGTGATCTGTTTTACTTGTTTATAATCTATATATGCCAAACTGACAGAGTGTTAGACAAGGAGGAATAGCTAATCTCTAGGAACATGGGGAAATGAATATATCTCACATAGCCCTACGTGCTGTTGAGCATGTATAGTGAGGCTTCATACCCAAGAATGAATACAATTATTTTGGAACTTAAAATTTTTTTCAATAATTTTCAAACCCAGCTTTTGAAGAATTAATATGTGGTAAAAATAATACCTATGACTTAAATGTAAGAGACAAAAACTATAAAGCTCTCAGAAGATCAAATAGAAAAACATCTTCATGACTTCAAGATAGGAAAGGATTTCTCAAGCATTAAAAAGTCCAATCATGAAAGAAAGATGGAGAAATTTGGCAATATTAAAATTAAGAATTTCTGTTTATCAAAAGATACCATAAAAAGAGTACAAGGGCAAATAATATATTTGAAGTACGTAAAACTTTCAATAGAGTAGTTTCCAAAATGTGTAAAGAACTTCTACAAATGAAGAACAAAAAAGCAGACAACCCAATTAAAAATATGTGCAAAGTATAAAAGCATACACTTTAGAAAAGAGAATCTTTTGTGGCAGATAAACATATGAAAATCAGGTAACTCAAAATAAAACTACAGTGAGGTATCATTACACATCCACCAGATTAGCAAAATTAAAAAAGTCTGACAATACTAAGTAGGAGAATGTAGGACAATAGGAATTCTCCATAAACTATTGGTGGGAACTCCATTAATAAATTACATATTGAGACCATACCTAAATTATAATTGGAGCTAATCATTTTGTCTGGTGATAATGAATGATTTCCTGGAGTAATTCAGAATGACAAATTACCACGAAAAATTGGTACAACCGTTGGGAAAAATTTGGCATCTAGTAAAATGAGAGATATACATACCCCATACCTCATAGTTCCGATCCTAGGTATATACCTAGAGAAATAGAAGTACATACATGCAAGGATATATGTAAAAGAATGTTCATAATATCTTTGGTTGTACATGAAAGCAGAAACACTTCAAATATCCATTTACAGTAGAATGGATAGATGTATTGTGTTTGTGCAATGGAATACTTTACATCAGTAAAAATAAGAGAACTGTGTCTTTGTGCAATAATATGGATGCATCTCACAAGCATATGCAAAACAAAAACCAAAACATAAGAGCATACATATGTTATTTTATTATATAACATTTAAAACAGGAAAAATAGGCTATATTATTTAGATGATAAAACAATATAAAGCAAACTAAGGAAATGATTGTCACAAAAGTCAGAATAGTGATTACCTCTGAGGAGCAAGACATGGTGAATATGAAACCTTTTAGAGTGCTCATGATGTTGTATTTCTTTCCCTGGGTAAAGAAACATGGGTATTCTCTTTATAATTTTGTTTGTTAAACTGTTCATATTATGTTTTATTCTCTTATCTGTATGTATTATGTTGAACCATATGAAGTTGCCATTTTTGTAGGTTAAAACAGCTAAATATTAGCAATTTCAAATGGCGAGACTATGTTTTATTTTACAATAAAATTACAAAAAGAAAAATAGTTTGTTCTCATATGACAACAGATGCTGAGTATGGAGATAAAGGGACAGTAAGACAAGTAAGAGAATCAAAATGTACTTCACAAGTAAGTCAAATGTTTGATCTCTAATTTCTAAGCAAAAATTCCAATTTAAAATATTATGTCTATTTAAATTTCAGATTTAGTACAGTGATTTATGTGAGATGTTGTTAGCTTGGTGATCAGGTTTCTAGAGAGTTACAGATTCTATTTTTCAGATTAAAAGATGAAGCCACAAAAATTTTATATGAAAATATACAAAAATATATTATTCGGCCATAAAAAAGAGTGAAATTTAGTTATTTGCAGCAACATCGTTGGAACTGGTGGTCATTATGTTAAGCAAAATAAACCAAGTACAGAAAGACAAATATCACATCTTCTCACTCATATGTGGGAGCTAAAAAAGCGGGTTTCAAGATGATACAGGATAGATTGGTGGTTACCAGAGTCCAGGAAGGGTAGTGGGGAAGAAGGAACGTAGAGAAGCTGATTAATGGATACAACTATATAGTTTGAGAGAAGAAATAAGGCCTTGTGTTAGATCAGTATGGTGACTACGGCTTACAGCCATCTATTGTACCTGTCAAAATAGCTAGAAGAGAATAATTCAAAGTTTCTAGCATGAAGAAAAGACAAATATTTAAGGTGATGGATATCCCAAGTACACTGATTTGATATTTACAAATTACATGAATGTGTTAAATTATCACATGTATCCCAAAACTATGTACAGTTATGCATCAATAAATTTTTTTAAAAATTAAAAAAACATATACAAAAAGTTATCATCAGTAAGTGACAATATATATTGACTATAACTAAATAATGATTGATGAAAATAATTTTGTTTGGTAAGATTGAATGATTCGCCACGACAATTCAAGAGCAGTGGTTGCCATAAAAGTATCTTGAAAGCATTATTTAAATAGTGGAACACTTTACTGATGATAGATGTAAACAATGTATATCAAGTTCAGTCTAACTATTAAAGGTTAAAATAAGAGAAACAGCAAGTAGTATTTTGCTGTAAAAAACACACGTAATAAGCACATTTTAATTTTTTTGATGAAGAGACCCAAATTATTTCTGTAATGGGATTTGGCATAACAAGCATATTTGAGAAATCATATCACTATTCTACAAAATGACATAAAGGAAAATTAGTATTCAGATTCTCAATTATTGTAGAGAAAGTAGCATAACAGATTTATAGGGTCAAAAAAAGTGTGAAAATGTAATTAATCAATGAGAGCAAGATTGCTTAAAAGTACATCATTTTTCACTTTCAAGGAGATAGCCTATGTAATTGTTCACCCAAAGAGCATATTGTGGAAATTTTAAAAGAAAAATCATTCCTAGTCTTTTTTTTCATCAATTCCAATATGTTCTGGCTGTCATTTACTTTTTCAGGTAGAAGTGGAAGATGGAACTGGAAAGAAAAGAAAAAATTGGATAAATATTTATTTTTCTATATTTTGATATATGTTTTAGTATTACTTTCACCAGTTATTCTTATTTCAGTTATTTTGTCTGTGCAATGTTAACATCATGGATTAATAAGGTATTTTCCACCTCATGCATTTTTATGTATGTCATTAATGCAGCAGCATTTGTTTTATAGTTTTCTGTTACTTTGAATTTGCAGGCTATATATACTGAACATTTTGGGAAGTCAGTAGAAAATGATAGTGATGAAGTAGAAGAGAGAGCTGAGAATTTTCCACGAACGTCTGAAATTCCTATATTTTTAGGAACTCCCAAAGCTGTGAAAGCACCTGAGTCATTGGAGAAAATAAAATTCCCTAAAACCCCCCCGTTCGAAATGTAGGATTTTAATTAATAACTATTGTTAAATTATTTGTATGTTGAATTACATAAATAACTGATAGGAATAGTAAAATGCTTAGTACCTTTAACAAGTTTTTATTATGTAGTATTTCAGACATGCAAAGAAGAGAAAGACTAATATAACACACCTCCATTTACCCATCACCCTGTTTTAACAATTATTAATACCTGTTTTAACAATTATTAATACTCTGCTGTTCCTGTTTCATAGACCCTCTTCCCCATTTTTCCTGCAACATTTAGCTGAAGATGGCATAAATCCCACGTACTTATAAAGCAATAGTGTGTAGATTTGAGATTTTTCCAAAGGATAAAGAAAATTTAAAATGTCAAGCTAAGCCTAGCATAGTGGCATGTGCCTGTAGTCCCAGCTATTTGGGAGGCTAAGGGAGGAGGATCCCTTGAGCCCAGGAATTTGAATCCAGCCTGAGCAACATAGTGAGACTCTATTAAAAAAAAAAAAAAAGTCAAGCTAAAAAGCTGTTGTCACATATGGTAGATTGTAGACTTATCATCAATTAATATTCCATCAGTCATTTCTTCATATGTTGTAGTGTCTGAAGCAAGACTTGCCATTTTTATTAAGCAAGCTCTTTAGGCATAAATATCTCTAACATGATTATTAAATTTTGGAAACCACGTATTTGTAGTTTGCAGCCAAGAAAATAGTGCTGCACTTAACCTTTATGTTTAGTCCATTATCTTCCTTAACAACCCTGAGGTTTCTCTAAAACATATGTCAAGCAGAATTCACTGCATCAGGGTTGTTTTGCATCAGACCTGTACTCTACTTCCGTATTTTAAATTGCTAATAAGAGTTATGGATTTGAATGTCATGCTGTTGACTCAAGCACAGCACATTCGAAATGGAACTCATCATCAAACCTGAGAACTGTAAAATAATGTGAGCTCATACGCTAAGACCTCTCCCCATGGATGAGAAAACTATCATCTGTAAAGTTAAGTGACTCATTTATGGTAATAGAGATAGTTATGGCAGTATCATCAGATTTCTATTAAATTTAACAAACAACAAACTGTGCAAGGCACTGCTCTAGACATTTTATAAATACTGCTCATTTAATATTCACAACAGCCTTATTAGGTGTAGGTACATTATTATCCTTATTTTACAGAAGAGGAAACAGAATCACAGGTGATACAACTAATCAACATTAGAATAGAAATTTAAGCCCAGGCCGTTCTGGCTCTAGAATCCATGCTTTTAACCACTGGTATAAACTGTCTTGTCTAATTATTTTTCCCAAATCATATTATAATTTAACTTCCTTATACATCACTGTAATGGCTGGCTTCTCATCAACACTAAAATCTTGTAACTGGCATTCAAAATCTTGAAGACAGTATAGTGTCAAGGTTAAGAGCTTGGACTTTGAATCGTGATTGCTGCATTCACCTGCCACCTTTGGCACTTATTATTCTTTTAAGCAAATCATTTAACCTTTCTATGCTTCAAAATTCCCTACTGTAAAATGGAAATGATAGTAATAGTACCTATTTCATAGGGTTCTTGTGAAGAATAAGTAAGTTATGCCTTATTTAACTTTATTTAACATTAGTCTCCACCTCATACAATCCTTTCTCGATAGGATTGTCACTTCAATAACTACTTCCTACATTTCCCTACTATGCTAATTCTCACCTCTATGCTGTTGCTTATGATGCTTACCAGTATTCAGTGTTTAATAATAGATTTTTAACATTTTGATAATTTCTTATTTCTCAGTAACAGAAATAGAAATGCAGTACCTGAAGTTCAAACAGAAAAGGAATCCCCTGGACTTTCTTTTCTTATGAGTTATACTTCTAGATCACCTGGATTGAATTTATTTGATTCTTCTGTATTTGATACAGAAATCTCATCAGATCAGGTAATATGAGAAGCCAAAAGTTTTATTTCTAAAAATTCTGCTGTGAAACTTTGAGTAATTTTAGTTCTTTAATACAAAACTGTCTTGGGGCAGATTATCAACAGAAGCATTTAAAAAAATTCTGAGTATTGATGGTATGACAAAGTTCCCTATTACCTTTTTGTTTTCAACTTTGAATGCCTCATATTGACATCTGTTCATTAAAAACGGATCTCAGGATAGGGATAATTTAAATCAGCTAAAGGCAGTTTAAAAAATGAATTTGACTTTATAGTTAATGTGTCTAACTTTCAGACAAACTAGAATTCTCAACATAAAAAATGTTCCATATTATAAATGGGTCTTTTCAACTACATGTGTATACATAGTAGCATTATCACTGGTTAATTTTAAAAGACCTAATATTGGTTTCTACTGTTCAGTGATATGAATCATGATAAAGTGCTTATTTCTATATTTAGAAATTAAAGCTGAAAATTGAGACATGCTTTATTCAAAAAGTAGAAACATTACAGTGTAGTGGTTAAAACTAGACTCTGAAGCCAGACTACTTAGGTGTGTACCAGATGTGGGATTTTGGGTAAGTGGCTTGGTTTCCTTATCTGTAAAATGAAATAATAACTATTATCATAGGGTTTGTGAGTATTAGAGTTTATACACATAAAGCACTTAGAAAAGTACCAACCACTTAATAATCCTACATAAGTTTTAATGTGATATGAGTAATATTGTTATTGCTCATTTAAGTTAATTACATTTAGCCAATTTTATGTGGATTAGAATATTTTATTTGCATATATCTGACATTAAATTGTTGAAATTACAAATTTATTGATGGATGATATAGTACTATACATGTTATAGTATTTTACATCTTCAACTTTTGTCTCATTTTTTATTTAAATGCTTATTTTAAAAACAAGTAATTCCTAGGAGTATGCTAGGCATGAAAGTAGACTATAGTTACTTAATTCTCATTTACAATAATAACATGAATGCAAAATGCATGTATATAAATGTAATAGGAAACATGTACACTTTGAATAAGGAAAACTACAAAACTACTGAAAAAAGTTAATGAATACATAAACACATGCAATACTTGCATAGGAAAAAATATTGTAAAGATAAATTTCTTCCCAATATAATTTATAAATATAGTCCAATTCAAATCTAATTATAATCCTGGCAAGTTTGTATTTAATTTTTTGTTTTGTTTTTATGGTGGTGGGATTGGGGAAGGAGATTGGCAAAATAATTAATAACTGTCCTGGGGGAAAGTGGTCAAGAACTATCAGGAAAATATTGAAAAATAAGATTGATGATAAATTAAAACGAAATTCTAAAAAATTCAACCCCACAAGGTAGAAAAGAAACAATAAAAAAATACACACAGTAAAAAAATCATAAAACAAATAAACTTTACACCAAATAATGTGCTTTTTAATAATTATATTTTGTGAATGGGCTAACACTCATTAAAAGACAAAGATTGTAAGAATGGAAAAAAAAAAAGCAAGACCCAAATATAAGCTATCTATAAGAAACACACTTTAAATATAAAGGCAAAGACGGGTTGACAGTAAATGGATGGAAAATGATGTATCATGAAAACTAAGCATTAGAAGGTCACAGTAGCTATATTAATATCATTTCTGGTAGTCTTAAAGAATATTACTAGAAATGAGAGGGACGTTTCATAAAGATAAAAAAGTCAATTCATAAGGAAGATATAACAGTCACAAATGTGTAAAGCCTAATAACAGCTTCAAAATACATGAAACAAAATGTAACAGAATTAAAGAGAGAAATAGACAAAAATTCAAACATATTGGAGGTTTTAATACTTCTCTTTTAGCAGCTGGTAGAATTAGATAACACAATCAGTAAAGATCTTTAATAAGATCTGAATAACATCATCAATCACCTTGATCTAATTGACCTTTATAGTACATCACATCCAGCAACTGCAGCATATATATTCTTTTCAGGTTCTGATGGTACCTTCAGCAAGATACACCATATTCTGGGCCATAAAATGAGTCTTAATGAATTTAAAAGGATTGAAATCAGAGTATGTTCTCTGACCACAGCAGAATTAAATTAGAACTCAATGTGATATCTAAGAAAATCCTAAATATGTAGGCCATAGATCAAAGAAGAAATCATGAGATAAATCAGAAAAAAATTTTATTTATTTTTAATTTTTATGGGTGCATAGTAGATGTATATATTTATGGGGCTCCCTAAGATATTTTGATACAGGCATGCAATGTGAAATAATCATATCATAGAAAGGGAGAGTATCCATCCCCTCAAACATTTATTCTTTGTCCTACAAATAATCCAGTTATACTTTTAGTTATTTTAAAGTGTACAATTAAATTATTTTGACTATAGTCACCCTATTGTGCAATCAAATACTAGATCTTATTAATTCTTGCTATGTTTTTGTACCCATTAACCATTCCCACCTGTCCCCAGTCCCCCGCCCCCAACCTTTCCCAGCCTCTGGTAATCATCTTTCTACTCTCTATCTCCATGAGTTCAATTGTTCTTATTTTTAGGTCCCACAAATAAGTGAGAATATGTTGTTTGTCTTTCTGTGCCTGACTTATTTCATTTAACATAATGACCTCTAGTTCCATCCATGTTGTTGCAAATGACAGGATCTCATTCCTTTTTTCCTTTCTTCCTGTCTTCCTTTAAGTGAAGATGATTTTCTCTGATGGTGAGATTTAATTTCTTGCTTTTTATTTTTGGTGTATCCATTGTCTCTTTTTCGATTGTGGTTACCATGAGGCTTGAAATTCTATCTTTTTTTTTTTTTTTTTGAGATGGAGTCTTTGCAGTTGGCACAATGTCGGCTCACTGCAACCTCCACCTCCCAGGTTCAAGTGATTCCCCTGCCTCATCCTCCCGAGTAGCTGGGACTATAGGCGTGTGCCACCATGCCTGGCTAATTTTTTTTTTTTGTACTTTAGTAGAGATGGGGTTTCACCATGTTGGCCAGGATGGTCTCGATCTCCTGACCTCGTTATCTGCCTGCCTCAGCCTCCCAAAGTGCTGGGATTACAGGCGTGAGCCACCATGCCCAGCCTGAGATTCTATCTTTTAACCCATTATTTTATTTTATTTTTAATTTTTAAAATTTCTCTATTTTTATTATACTTTAAGTTCTAGGGTACATGTGCACAATGTGCAGGTTTGTTACGTATGTATACATTTGCCATGTTGGTGTGCTGCACCCATTAACTCGTCATTTACATTAGGTATATCTCCTAATGCTATCCCTCCCCCCACCCCCTACCCCATGACGGGCCCTGGTGTGTGATGTTCACCATCCTGTGTCCAAGAGTTCTCATTGTTCAATTCCCACCTATGAGTGAGAACATGCGGTGTTTAGTTTTCTGTCCTTGTGATAGTTTGCTCAGAATGATGGTTTCCAGCTTCATCCATGTCCCTATAAAGGACATGAACTCATCCTTTTTATGGCTGCATAGTATTCCATGATGTATATGTGCCACATTTTCTTAATTCAGTCTATAATTGATGGAATTTGGGTTGGTTCCAAGTCTTTGCTATTGTGAATAGTGCCGCAATAAACATACGTGTGCATGTGTCTTTATAGTAGCATGATTTATAATCCTTTGGGTATATACCCAGTAATGGGATTGCTGGGTCAAATGGTATTTCTAGTTCTAGATCCTTGAGGAATCACCACACTGACTTCCACAATGGTTGAACTAGTTTACAGTCCCACCAACAATGTAAAAGTGTTCCTATTTCTCCACATCCTCTCCAGCACCTGTTGTTTCCTGATTTTTTAATGATTGCCTTTCTGACTGGTGTTAGAAATCACCAGGACTGGTCCCTGGTGATTTTTCTAGTTCATTTGGTGAGTTCATGTTTTCCTGGATGATCTTGATGCTTGTAGTTGTTGTTGGTGTCTAGGCATTGAAGAATTAGGTATTTACTGTAGTCTTCACAGTCTGGGCTTGTAGTGCCTGTCTTTCTTGAGGAGGCTTTCCAAGTATTCAAAGGGACTTGGGCTCCAAGCCCAATAACGCTGTGCTGTTTGCAGACTCAGAGAGGTACAGCCTTGGTGGTCTTGGATAAGATCTGGAAGGATTCTCTAGATTACCAGGCAGAGACTTGTTATTTTCCCTTGATTTCTCCCAAACAAATGGAGCCTCTCTCTCTGTGCTGAGCTGCCTGGAGTGGGGGGAGGTGTGGCCATCTCGACTAGGACTGCACTGGGCCATTCCTGAAGCCAGCATAGCATTGGGTCTTGGCTAAGGCCTTCTGTAACCACTACCTGGCTACCCGCTGTGTTCACTGAAGGCCCTAAAGCTCTGTGATCAGCAGGTGGTGAAGCCAGCCAGATTTGTGTCCATCCCTTCAGGTGGCTAGTTCCCCTGGCCCTAGGCAGGTCTAGAGATGCTGTCTAGGATTTTGGGATTGGAGTCAAAAACCTTAGTAATTTGCCCAATGTTCTACTCTACTGTGGCTAAGCTGGCACTCAAACCACAATACAAAGTCCTTCCTGCTCTTCCCTCCCTTTCCACAGGCAGAGGAGCCTCTCCCTGTGGCCCCCACGACCATCAGCTCATGGTGGGGGTCTGCCAGGACACTGCTGATATCCACTCGAAGCCCAGTGGCTCTTCAGTGAATGATGCCAGGCATGGGATCTCACCCTTCAGGGTAGTGGGCTCCCCTCTGGCCCAGGGAAGGTCCAGAAATGCTGTCCAAGAGCCTAGGCCTGAACTCAGGGACCCCAAGATCATGCTTGTTCTACTCCACTGTGGCTGAGCTGGTACCTAGTGTGCAAGATAAAATGCCCTTTACTTTTTCCTCTGCTTTTCTTAAACAGATGGGGTCTTTTACCATAGCCACCATAGCTGGGAATGTGCTGGGTCACAACTGAAGCCAGCACCTCTCAGAGCCCAAGGCCCACAGCATACTACCTGAGTATCACTCCTGGTTATTCAGGGCCCAAGGGCTCTTTAGTCAGTGGGTGATTAATTCTGCCAGGACTGGGTCCTTCCCTTCAAGGCAGTGGATTCCCTTTTAGGAAGGATTTTAAACTGCATTAGGAAAATCCAGCCTATCAAAAATTATGGGATGTTGCAAAAGCCAGAGCAAAAAATAGCTTTAAATAATTTAGCTAATAATTACATAATAAAAAGAAGAAAGGCCTAAAATCAGTGACCTAAGATTTCATTTTGAGAATCTAGAGAAAGAAGAACTAAGCAAACCTGAAGTAAAATGAAGAAACAAAATAAGAGAAATCAGTGAAATGGAAAAACAAACAATAGAGGAAATTAACAAAGTCAAAGTTGATTATTTGAAAATAATTGACAAAATTGACAAAATCCTTATATTAGGAATGAAAGAGAGGATGTAATTATAAATCCTAAATATTATGAAACAGATTGGTGAGGGAAACTTACTTTCTAAATATTCAAACATCCTATAAGGTTAGAGTAATAAAGGGCATGATAACGGTTTTAAGGACTGATTGATCAATGGTATGGGCTAGAAAATCTTGAAACCAAAGATTTTATAATGTGATAATGATAGACTACAAATTAATAGGAGTAAATTACGCATTCATCTTACACTGTACGTCAATAGAAGTTACAGATGCATTAAATTATATAAGAAAATGTTAACAATATATTTCTGAAGAAATATAGGTGAATATTTACCAAATCTTAGGAGGAAGGATTCTCTAAGCATGAAAACGGTGGAAGAAGAAGCAAAAGAAAATAATTGGGTTTGATTACATACAAAATCTAAACTTCTTTTTTTAAATTATGCTTTAAGTTCTAGGGTAATGTGCACAACATGCAGGTTTGTTACATAGGTATACATGTGCCATGTTGGTTTGCTGCACCAATCAACTTGTCATCTACATTGGGTATTTCTCCTAATGCTATCCCTCCCCCAGCCCCCTACTCCCTGACAGGCCCCAGTATGTAATGTTCCCCACCCCGTGTCCATGTGTTCTCATTGTTCAGTTTCCACCTATGAGTGAGAACATGCGGTGTTTGGTTTTCTGTCCTTGTGATAGTTTGCTGAGAATGATGGTTTCCAGCTGCATCCATGTCCCTGCAAAGAACATGAACTCGTCCTTTTTATGGCTGCATAGTATTCCATGGTGTATATGTGCCACATTTTCTTAATCCATTCTATCATTGATGTTGATGGACATTTGGGTTGGTTCCAAGTCTTTGCTATTGTGAATAGTGCCACAAAAAACATACGTGTGCATGTGTCTTTATAGCAGCATGATTTATAATCCTTTGGGTATATACCCAGTAATGGGATTGCTGGGTCAAACGGTATTTCTAGTTCTAGATCCTTGAGGAATTGCCACACTATCTTCCATAATGGTAGAACTAATTTACACTCCCACGAACACTGTAAAAGTGTTCCTATTTCTCCATATCCTCTCCAGCATCTGTTGTTTCCTGACTTTTTAATAATTGCCATTCTAACTAGCATGAGATAGTATCTCATTGTGGTTTTGATTTGCATTTCTCTAATGACCAGTGATGATGAGCATTTTTTCATGTGTCTGTTGGCTGCATAAATGTCTGCTTTTGAGAAGTGTCTTCATATCCTTTGCCCACTTTTTTATTTTTTTTCTTATAAATTTGTTTAAGTTCTTTGTAGATTCTGGATATTAGCCCGTTGTCAGATGGGTAGATTGCAAAAATTTTCTCCCATTCTGTAGGTTGCCTGTTCACTCTGATGATAGTTTCTTTTGCTGTGCACAAGCTCTTTATTTTAATTAGATTCCATTTGTCTATTTTGGCTTTTGTTGCCATTGCTTTTGGTGTTTTGGTCATGAAGTCCTCGGCCATGCCTGTGTCCTGAATGGTATTGCCTAGGTTTTCTTCTAGGGTTTTTATGGTTTTAGGTCTTACATTTAAGTCTTTAATCCATCTTGAGTTAATTTTTGTATAAGATGTAAGGAAGGGATCCAGTTTCAGCTTTCTACATATGGCTAGCCAGTTTTCCCAGCACCATTTATTAAATAGGGAATCCTTTCCCCGTTGCTGTTTTTGTCAGGTTTGTCAAAGATCAGATGGTTGTACATGTGTGGTGTTATTTCTGAGGCCTCTGTTCTGTTTCATTGGTCTATATGTCTGTTTTGGTACCAGTACCAAGCTGTTTTGGTTACTATAGACTTGTAGTATAGTTTGAAGTCAGGTAGTGTGATGCCTCCAGCTTTGGTCTTTTTGCTTAAGATTGTCTTGGCTATGCGGGCTTTTTTTGGGTTCCATATGAACTTTAAAGTAGTTTTTTCCAATTCTATGAAGAAAGTCTTTGGTAGCTTGATGGGGATAGCATTGGATCTATAAATTATCTTGGGCAGTATGGCCATTTTCACGATATTGAGTCTTTCTATCCATGAGCATGGAATGTTCTTCCATTTGTTTGTGTCCTCTTTTATTTCATTGAGCAGTGGTTTGTAGTTCTCCTTGAAGAGGTCCTTCACATGCCTTGTAAGTTGTATTTCTGGTATTTTATTCTCTTTGAAGCATTTGTGAATGGGAGTTCACTCATGATTTGGCTCTCTGTCTGTTATTGGTGTATAGGAATGCTTGTGATTTTTGCACATTGATTTTGTATCCTGAGACTGCTGAAGTTGCTTATCAGCTTAAGGAGATTTTGGGCTGAGATGATGGGCTTTTCTAAATATACAATCATGTCATCTGCAAACAGAGATAATTTGACTTCCTCTTTTCCTATTCGAATACCCTTTATTTCTTTCTCTTGCCTGATTGCCCTGGCCAGAACTTCCAACACTATATTGAACAGGAGTGGTGTGAGAGGGCATCCTTGTCTTGTGCCCGTTTTCAAAGGGAATGCTTCCAGTTTTTGCCCATTCAGTATGATATTGGCTGTGGGTTTGTCATAGATAGCTCTTATTATTTTGAGATACGTTCCATCAATACCTAGTTTATTGAGAGTTTTTAGCTTGAAGGGGTGTTGAATTTTGTCAAAGGCCTTTTCTGCATCTATTGAGATAATCGTGTGGTTTTTGTCATTGGTTCTGTTTATGTGATGGATCACGTGTATTGATTTGCATATGTTGAGCCAGCCTTGCATCCTAGGGATGAAGCCAACTTTATTGTGGTGGATAAACTTTTTGATGTGCTGCTGTATTGGATTTGCCAGTATTTTATTGAGGATTTTCACATTGATGTTCATCAGGGATATTGGTCTAAAATTCTCTTTTTTTGTTGTGTCTCTGCCAGGCTTTGGTATCAAGATGATGCTGGCCTCATAAAATGAGTTATGGGGGATTCCCTTTTATTCTATTGATTGGAATAGTTTCAGAAGGAATGGTGTCAGCTCCTCTTTGTACCTGTGGTAGAATTTGGTTGTGATTCCGTCTGGTCCTGGACTTTTTTTGGTTGGTAGGCTATTAATTATTGCCTCAATTTCAGAATCTGTCATTCGTCTATTCAGAGATTCAACTTCTTCCTGGTTTAGTCTTTGGAGGGTGTATATGTCCAGGAATTTAAGCATTTCTTCTAAATTTTCTAGTTTATTTGCATAGAGGTGTTTTTAGTATTCTCTGATGGTACTTTGTATTTCTGTGGGATCAGTGGTGATATCCCCTTAACATTTTTTATTGCATCTATTTGATTCTTCTCTCTTTTCTTGTTTACTAGTCTTGCTAGCAGTCTATCAATTTTGTTGAATCCAATGCTGGATTCATTGATTTGTTGAAGGGTTTTTTGTGTCTCTAGCTCTTCAGTTCTGCTCTGATCTTAGTTATTTCTTGCCTTCTGCTAGCTTTTGAATTTCTTTGCTCTTGCTCCTCTAGCTCTTTTAATTTTGATGTTAGGGTGTCGATTTTAGATCTTTCCTGCTTTCTCTTGGGAGTTTTTAGTACTATAAATTTCCCTCTACACACTGCTTTAAACGTGTCCCAGAGATTCTGGTACGTTTTGTCTTTGTTCTCATTGGTTTCAAAGAACGTCTTTATTTCTCCCTTCATTTTGTTATTTATCCAGTAGTCATTCAGGAGCATGTTGTTCAGTTTCCATGTAGTTGTGGGGGTTTGAGTGAGTTTCTTAATCCTGAGTTCTAATTTGATTGCACTGTGGTCTGAGAGACAGTTTGTTGTGATTTATGTCCTTTTACATTTGCTGAGGAGTGTTTTACTTCCAATTATGTGGTCGATTTTAGAATAAGTGCAATGTGGTGCTGAGAAGAATGTATATTCTGTTGATTTGGGTTGGAGAGTACTGTAGATGTCTATTAGGCCCATTTGGTGCAGAGCTGAGTTCAAGTCCTGGATATCCTTGTTAACTTTCTGTCTTGTTGATCTGTCTAATATTGACAGTGTTGTGTTAACGTCTCCCATTATTATGTGGGAGTCTAAGTCTCTTTGTAGCTCTCTAATGACTTGCTTTATGAATCTGGGTGCTCCTGTATTGGGTTCATATATATTTAGGATAGTTAGCTCTTCTTGTTGAATTGATCCCTTTATCATTTTGTAATAGCCTTCATTATCTCTTTTGATCTTTGTTGGTTTAAAGTCTGTTTTATCAGAGACTAGGATTGCAACTCCTGGTTTTTTTCCTTTCAGTTTGCTTGGTATATCTTCCTCCATCTCTTTGTTTTGAGCCTATGTGTGTCTCTGCATGTAAGATGGGTCTCCTGAATACAGCACAGTGATGGGTCTTGACTCTTTATCCAATTTTCCAGTCTGTGTCTTTTTATTGGGGCATTTAGCCCATTTGCATTTAAGGTTAATATTGTTATGTTTGAATTTGATCCTGTCATGATGTTAGCTGGTTATTTTGCCCGTTAATTGATGTAGTTTCTTCATAGCATCAATGGTCTTTACAATTTGGCATGTTTTTGCAGTGGCTGGTACTGGTTGTTCCTTTCCAAGTTTAGTGTTCCCTTCAGGAGCTCTTGTAAGGCAGGCCTGGTGGTGACAAAAATCTCTCAGCATTTGCTTGTCTGTAAAGTATTTTATTTCTCCTTCACTTATGAAGGTTAGTTTGGCTGGATATGAGATTCTGGCTTGAAAATTCTTTTCTTTAAGAATGTTGAATATTGGCCCCCACTCTCTTCTGGCTTGTAGGGTTTCTGCTGAGAGATCTGCTGTTAGTCTGATGGGATTGTGGGTCTGATGGGATTCCCTTTGTGGGTAACCCGACCTTTCTCTCTGGCTGCCCTTAACATTGTTTCCTTCATTTCAATCTTGGTGAATCTGACAATTATGTGTCTTGGGGTTGCTCTTTTCGAGGAGTATCTTTGTGGTGTTATCTGCATTTCCTGAATTTGAATGTTGGCCTGCCTTGCTAGATTAGGGAAGTTCTCCTGGATAATATCCTGAAGAGTGTTTTCTAACTTGGTTCCATTCTCCCCGTCACTTTCAGGTACACCAATCAAACGTATATTTGGTCTTTTCACATATTCCCATATTTCTTGGAGGCTTCGTTTGTTTCTTTTTACTCTTTTTTCTCTAATCTTGTCTTCTTGCTTTATTTCATTAATTTGATCTTCAATCACTGATATCCTTTCTTCCACTTAATCGAATCGGCTATTGAAGCTTTTGTATGTGTCCTGAAGTTCTTGTGCCATGGTTTTCAGCTCCATCAGGCCATTTAAAGTCTTCTCTACGCTGTTTATTCTAGTTAGCCATTCGTCTAACCTTTTTTCAAGGTTTTTAGCTTCTTTGTGATGGGTTAGAACATGCTCCTTTAGCTCGTAGAAGTTTGTTATTACCGACCTTCTGAAGCCTGCATCCATCAACTCGTCAAAGTCATTTTCTGTCCAGTTTTGTTCCATTGCTGGCAAGGAGCAGCAATCCTTTTGAGGAGAAGAGGCACTCTGGTTTTTTGAATTTTCAGCTTTTCTGCTCTGGTTTCTCCCCATCTTTGTGGTTTTATCTACCTTTGGTCTTTTATGTTGGTAACCTACAGATGGGGTTTTGGTGTGGATGTCCTTTTTGTTGATGTTGATGCTATTCCTTTCTGTTTGTTAGTTTTCCTTCTAACAGTCAGGCCCCTCAGCTGCAGGTCTGTTGTAGTTTGCTGGAGATCCACTCCAGACCCTGTTTGCCTGTGTATCACCAGTGGAGGCTGCAGAACAGTAAATATTGCAGAACAGCAAATATTGCTGCCTGATCCTTCTTCTGGAATCTTTGTCCCATAGGGTCACCTACCTGTTTGAGGTGTCTGTCAGCCTCTACTGGGAGATGTCTCCCAGTCAGGCTACATGGGAGTCAGGGACCCACTTGAGGAGGCAGTCTGTCCATTCTCTGAGCTTGAATGCCATACTGGGAGAACCACTGCTCTCTTCAGAGCTGTCAGACAGGGACATTTAGGTCTGCAGAAGTTTTCTATTGCCTTTTGTTCAGCTGTGCCCTGCTCACAGAGTTTGAGTCTATAGAGGCAGTAGGCCTTGCTGAGCTGTGGTGGGCTCCCCCAGTTCAAGCTTCCTGGCTGCTTTGTTTACCTACTCAAGCCTCAGCAATGGCAGACACCCCTCCCCCTGCCAGGCTGCAGCCTCACAGGTCAATCTCAGACTGCTATGCTAGCAGTGAGCAAGGCTCCTTGGGCATGGCACTCACCGAGCCAGGCACGGGAGGGAATCTCCTGGTCTGCTGGTTGCTAAGACCTTGGACAAAGTGCAGTATTTGGGCGGGAGTGTACTGTTTTTCCAGGTACAGTCTGTCACAGCTTCCCTTGGCTAGGAAAGGGAAATCCCCCAACCCCATGCACTTCACGGGTGAGGGGACGCCCTGCCCTGCTGCAGCTCACCCTCTGTGGGCTGCACCCACTGTCCAACCAGTCCCATTGAGATGAACCAGGTACCTCAGTTGGAAATGCAGAGATCACCTGTCTTCTGTGTAGATCTCGCTGGGAGCTGCAGACCAGAGCTCTTCCTATTTGGCCATCTTGGAAGCGACCCCAAAATCTAAACTTCTATATGTTAAAAAATCTTAAGGGCAAAATGACGAAGATGTAAAATATTTGCAATAAGATTGCAAATAGTTAATTAACGTCTCTAGACTATAAAGTGCTTATATGTACCAATAAGGAAAAAATTACTTTCTCAATAGAAAAATGAGCAAAGTCCATTTGACAAAGAGATAATTCACTGAAAAAGAAATTCAAGTGGCTTATAAAATCTATGAGAAAACAGCTTTCCTTATTAATTGTCAAAGAAACATAAATCTGTGCATAACAGTGTTTATTCACATGTGACTTCTATATAAAAAACAAAGTTGGGACAACTTACATGTCCAGTATTAAAGGATGGTTGAAACTGTCTGGTTTGTCTATGTGGAGGAATATTATAGAGCCATGGAAAGAGTCAGATTTTAGAAGAATAATGACATGGACAAATGCTCACAATGCAATGTGAAGAGGAAAAAGGTGCACAGAAAACTATGCTGTCATGATCTCATTTTTTTTAAAAGCCTGTTTTACTGATAAAATAGACTTTTGGCAGCAAAACTTGATCTCAACTGACATGAAGCTATCCACTTCCTGTTACTTTTATAGGCAAAAAAAATACCAACAACCTGATTTGTTAAAAGCTTTCAGAATAAAGCAAAATATCATATTAAGATTCTAAAGTAAGAGCTATCTTTAGTACAGTGTATTTTGCCTGAATCAAATCAATAGACCTTATTTTAATATAAGTAAATGACAGGTTTTGAAGATAGATCTTTTTAAGTATAAGAGTGTGCTATATAAAGGTACCATATGTCTACTTTAATTCTGTGTGTTAGAAGAACTAAGCTTTAGATTCAAATATATGTACTATATATACTGTCCTACTGATTTCACAAGTAATATTTAATGGAAATTATTTTCCAGTTTAATGAACATTATTCTGCAAGAAATCTAAATCCTCTGTCATCAGAGCAAGAGATTGGTAAGTTGTTTGAAGTTTGCTACCTTTAAAAACATGTTAACTCATTAGTACAGTATTTAGTTTCTCTAACTTATTTTCTTAGGTGCTCAATTTATTCTTTAGAAATTACTGTTACTTCTGCACTACTCACTGATATTCTTTTCTTTCTTTTTCAAGCAATTAGCTTTTCTCACTACTCTATTAAAACTTACTTTCTCCAAGGTTATTGACCTCCCAATTATCAAACATTATGGGTATCTTGTATTTATTATCATATTAAGACTCTTTGCAACATCTGATATAATTGGTTATTTCCATCTTTTTTCTGTAATTTTTGGATTTCCTTTTCTCTCTTTGATACTTTTTATTGGATATTCTTTCTTCATTTTTCCTTTGATTGATTAATTCATTCAACATATTAATATAAATATGTACGTGTATTATATTTTATATCAGGTATGCTTTTGGGCTGTGGTGACAGTGGACAAGAATGAAAAATTCTCATATGGTTTATGTTCCAGTGGGATAAACTGAAAATAGTCAAATAAATCAATGTATAATTTATCAGATAGTACACTAAACAACAGTTGTTATGGGCTTGAATAGTCAGACTCACATATTATGATTTTAAATCTAATATTACCTTTATGTTGTAGAATGATACAAGATAAGAGATAATGGTAGGTACAGCATCCTTGTTTCATTGAGAGGATCACCAACTACCCAAGTAATACACCTTCTTTTGCCACTGCCACCCAAGGAACATGTCAGGCTGCTATGGACAAAAGGCATGTTGCATGTAGGTCACCTTGAAACACAAGAGCTGTAACTTCAATTTCACACCAGTCTTTTATATTATTCTAGTCATGAGGCCCAAGGCCTGTATGCTAACTCATAGCTCCTCTAATTCAGGTGCAGTCTCACACAGCAGACTAGATAGATAAAACATTCTGTGTTTACCTTAATTCTGTGAAAACAGTGCTGTGGGAAGTCAGGCTCCAAGGTCATTTTCCAGGTGGGCCCGAATCTTCCCAGGCTTGATGTTAATTTTTTACTTATTGTTGGTGATAAATACTATGCAGCAAAGTAATGTAGAGTAAGGGAAATAGGGAATACTTGGATTGGGAAGGTGATTGCCGTATTGCAAGGAGTCAGGAAAGGCATCACTAAAAGTCAACATTGAGCAGAAGGAGGTGCATATACAAGCTACTGGGAAAAGTGTTCCAAGCAAAGGGCAAAAAGGTCTTGAAATGGGAACATACTCAGTATGTTCGTTGAAAATTAGTTAAATTGGTATGATTTATGGAATAAGGAAGGAGAGACTGGTGGGAGATTAAATCCAAGAGGTGGATGGAGAGCAAATCATGTGGGACCTGTAGATCATTAAGGACTTAGGGTTTTTTTTCTGAGTGAAATGGGAAACCTCTGGAAGGTTTTAAGTAAAGGACTGAAATGATCTGACAGGTTTTAAAAGAATTATTCTGGCTGCTATGTGGAGAACAGACTGTATGGAAACAAGGGCAAAAGCAGGGAAAGGTCAGGAAGCTATAAAATGATACAAAGTGAGAATTGATGAGTAGTAGTAGTAGAAGTGGTGAGAACATGTCAGATTTTGGTTACAAAGTTTTCTGAAGATAGAGCTGGAAGAATTTGCTTATGGACTGGATATAAGGATTGAGAGAGAGAAACAAAGATTGTGCCATGGTTTTGACATGAATAACTTGGAATGGAGTTGCCATTTATAGAAATATGGAAGGCTCTAAGCGTAATTTGAGATTGAGGAGACAGGGGTTTCATTTAGGAAGTGTTTTAATTGAAAAGCCTATTTATTAGATACGTAAGTGAAAGTAAAGTAGGAAATTGTACATATGAATTTCGAATTCAATGAGATGGAGACACAGATTTTGGAATTTTTATAAATGGTATTTAATGCTATGAGATCAGAATGAATCTACCAATTGTATTTATTAAATGTCTGCCATCTAAAAATTTAAATCTATTTACATCCTCTTTTTTTTTGAGACAGAGTTTCGCTCTTGTTGCCCAGGCTGGAGTGCAATAGCACTATCTCGGCTCACGGCAACCTCCGCCTCCTGGGTTCAAGCAATTCTCCTGCCTCAGCCTCCCGAGTAGCTGGGATTACAGGCGCCCAGCACCATGCCCAGCTAATTTTTTGTATTTTTAGTAGAGACGGGGTCTCACTATGTTGGCCAGGCTGGTCTCAAATTCCTGACCTCAGGTGATCCACCCGCCTCGGCCTCCCAAAGTGCTGGGATCACAGGCGTGAGCCACCGTACCCAGCCCACATCCTCTTTTTTGACATTCTCATTCATTTGACACTCATTCACTTCAGTGTTTTCAAATATAATACATACAGATAATGAACAAATTTATATCTTGCTGCACTGACTTCTAAACTCTAGGACCTTATTTCTGATTGTACAGTTTAAATCTCTTTAGACATCTTTTGACATTAAAAACTCAGTGTAGCTGAAATGAAACTTGCTCTCCTTCTGACGTCCCTGATGGTATCTCCATTATTCTGGCTTTTAAGGTTTGGAGCATGGTAACAATTTTAACTTCTCTCTGTGACTGTGACTACATTCAACTAGTCATTAAGTTTTATCAGTTCTCTCTCTTAAATATTTATTTTTATTTTCTATTTTCATTGAAACCATTATATTTCAGTCTTACTGTTCACCTGGACTGTTACAATATCATCCTAATTGGTGTTTTCCATTTTTCAGCTTACCTATAGATCACAGCTTAATTAATCTTCAGTGCCCATAATGTTGGCCATGTCACTGCCCTAATCAGTTACCTTCAGTGACTCCCCCACTGACTATCAAATTATGCTTCTACTTTTCTAATTTAGCTCCAACTACCTGTTTCATTTTTTATTGGTATATAGTTGTACATATTTATGGGGTCCATGTGATATTTTGATACCTGCATACAATGTGTAATGATCAAATCAGGGTAATTGGAATATCCATCACCTCAGACGTTTATCATTTCTTTGTGTGGGGAATATTCCAAATCTTCTTTTCTAGCTATGTCAAAATACACTATAAATTCTTGTAAACCATACTACTACTCTAGAACTTATTCTTAAATTCCGTACTAGAACTTATTCCTTCTGTCTAACTGTATTTTTATACTCATTAACCAGTCTCTATTCATCCCCCAACATACCTTTTAAGGCTTTTATCTTATAAGGGTAACCTGTGCTTTGGCCAGACTCTGGAACTCAGTGTGTCTCAAGTATGCCCACACTTTCTTACCTGCTTTTTACTTCTTGCAATCCCCAACTTCTATCTCTTTCTATCTTTCGAGATAGAATTCTCTTCCATAAAACCTTTTATTTATCCCCTCAATCTTCTTTTTCAAAAAGATCTCTCCCTCTCTTTTCTGAATATCTCTTCTTTTTTATACTTTTTACCATTCTACCATCATTATTTATAAATAGATATAAAATCTCCTCTAGATCACAGGTTTTTTGAGGACAAGGATTTTAAAATGTACCTTTGAATTCCCCATAGCACCTATAATGCTGCCTTGCACAGTAATGTGTTCTTTTATTTACAGTGATCATATGAGTTTTATGAAGACTTCATATGAACTTCTTGTGAAATTAAAAACAAAATCAAATTCATTTATTCAAAGGGAAATTCAAGATTTTAGCTCTTTTTGGATCCGTGTTTACATTATACCTATTTTTCTTTAAGTCATATGGCTGTGTACTGAGAAATACACATAGTCAAAAAAATAAAGTGAGAAAGGGAGAGGGGAAGAACACAAGTATCTGGTAGTCAGTCTGTCCATCTATCCATCTGTCTGTCCATCCATCCATCCACCCATCTTACTGCTGGTTGACTTGGTTCTATTTAGGGTGAAATAATTGAGATGTTTAAAAATAAAAATAAAGTTATTAAATATATGAAAGTTAAAAAATTTATGAAACATTCAAAGTGATGCAAATTATTTTGCTTAATATGCTATTTGATTAATTCTATATAAAAATAGATATTTAAAAAGACTTGTTTCAAGTACATATTTGATTACTATAGACTTAAAATTATTTAATGATAATTAATTTTAAATTAGAATTAGGATGTTGAAAATATATTTGTATATTTATAATTTTATTAATAAGTAATATAATAAGTGAAAAACAGTATTTTTCCTTAATGGCAATTCTGGGCTTCATCAACCAGAGCTACATTTAAAGCTTATTTTAAAAATTCCTTTTAGAACTCTTTTTAATGTTCTGTCAGTTTCCTTGAACAATGCCATGAGCAGTATATTGTAGTGACTCAATAAATAATAGTTGAATAAGTTTAACTTATACAGTATCTCTTAGATTCAGCATTTTTTCCTCCATTACCATCACTATGATTGTACCTAAGGTCAACATTTCATTATGTCTTCACTGGACAATAGACTTTTATTTTATTTTGGTTAGTCCCACTTCTAGACTCTCCTGTTCCAGCCTTTATACCTATTCTCTCCTGAGTAATACTTACAAAGCAGTTCAAATCATGTCATATCTCTGCTTGAAAATCTTCAATGAATTCTTGTTATCTACTAAATAAAGTCCAGATTCCATAGTGGGATATTCAGCAATCTTTCCAAGCTCATCTTCATTAATTTCCACTTAATACATCTTTATTATTTCTCACTGCTCCTGCTAAGCTGAATAGATTTCTGTTACTCTAATGCATCCTATGCATGTCTGTTTCTGTGCCTCTGTATCAGTCTCTTCATTTGAGGTGTTTTATTCTACTTTTTACTTTTTATACTAGTTCTTTATATACTAGAGTTCAAATTACTTGAAAACAGGGTTTAAGTTTGAGTCTGTTTTAACCTTCATAGTACCAAGGACAATGCCTTGCACTTAAGAGGAATACAATTAAATACCTGTATTCCTGTGTAACACTGATTCAGTGTTACCATATTTATTGTATGCAGTATGCTATAATTCAGTAGGTTATAAAAATTTTATATAATATGAAGAGCATGATATTGTAATGTTTATCTTCCTTAGGAAACTTACTTGAGAAGCCAGAAGGAGAAGATGGCTTTACATTTTCTTTTCCATCAGACACTTCAACTCATACATTTGGAGCTGGAAAAGATGATTTTAGTTTTCCATTTTCATTTGGACAGGGTCAAAATTCAATACCTTCTTCTTCTTTAAAAGGTTTTTCATCTTCCTCACAAAATACAACACAGTTTACTTTTTTTTGAGCTAGTCATTAATTCCTTAAATTATTTTACTGTTCTGTGTTCATGAGGGCATAAATTTACATTATTGCTTAAAACATGAAGACTGCTTTCTTTTATTGATTAAAGCAGTAATGTTTACATTATTTGATTATATTTATTGAAATATTGAAATACTGAATATTTTGGGTTTTGTGTGTGCTATTAACTAATCATTATTTATTTTGGTTTTGATTTTGCGAGCCGTGGTCAGGTAGAACTTTTATTAATCTTAATAGAATTTGATGCTTTTTTCATTACTCTTTATTTAAATATTAAGCCTGCTTCTCCTTGGAACCTAAGGTTTTTTTCTGGAAGTATTGTTGGTACTTTGATAAGAACAAGAACTGCAGTAGTAACTCCAGAGTTAGTGCTGAAGCGTACTTTAGCTACTAAAAATTTCTATTAAAATTATTGGGTTTCACTTCTGCTTCACTATGTAGTATACAGAGTGGTACTGTAATAATAATTTCAAATAATTTATGTTAATAACAAAATCTGTGTTATTTTCTTCTAATATAACACATGGTACAATTCTAATTTTATGAGTTATGCTAATGCTTTCAATGGCTAAAAATTAAATGTAAAGGGCAAGAGTAATTTCTGAAAATTGGATTGTTGTATCAGTGGTGATCCTGTTAATATTCTTTTTTGCTTAAATATTTTTTGAAGAACATTTACAATTTTGTCTCCTTCAATAACAAAAATTTCTTCTTTATGTTTTGTGTTCAGTATTTGTCAATTAATTATATAGCTTAAGTGAAGATATTTAAGATTTGATGAACTTCTGTAAACATTTTGCTCAATATCATTGTATTTTGTGCTTTGTAAATTAGCTGTACTGAGTTACCAAGTAATAAAGGGTTTGACTCCATATTTTGATGTGACTGTTGATGGATTTTTAAACCTAACCCCTTCTTTTCTCATTCTGCCCACATTTGGCCAAGCTGATCAGAAAGCCTGGTTGCTCCCTCCTTTGGTGCCAGTAGGAAGTTCAAACCACATATGGGAGCCCCCACCCAGCCCACCCCCTAACTACCATAAAAACCCAAAGCCAGTCTTCTTTCTCTACTTCTCAAGCTATTTTTCAGTTCAGGAGGCCTGCCCCGCTCTCCCCAGAAGGCCTTAATATATGACTAGAAAAATCTTTTCATGCCCTATTGGGATGTGTGGCATCATCAGTTTCAATATGCAAATCAAATTTTGGGTAAGGGTCTATACTGCTTCTTCAGGGTGTCTACAAATTATCACAGTTGTATTACATTAAGCTGTCTCGAAGACTTAAAAAGAAGGGCAATCTAACTAATGATAGAGTTTAAGAAAATTTTAGACTCTGTTAAAAAAAAAACCATCAAACATTCAACAACTGCTTAAAAGGTGAAAATTTCAGTTAAAAAGCTGGATTTTTTTTTTCGTTTTTTAACAGGTATTTATCTTATTGACTCTATGACTGAATTGATTGGTAGTTTTTATATAATAAAGACATTGGCTATATATGAGACAGAAGAAAAAGTTATAATTTGTTTGTTTATTGATAAATTCAAAACTAGTTTTAGCCTTGAATGATTCAGTGATTCCATGATTTATTTTTACTTTAGAGTAATGTCTAGCAGACCAGTATGGTTAGATTTATCATGTATCAATAAGTGATATGAAATAAGTATTTTAAAAGTATCTACCTTGCACATGGCATTTTGACAGCATATAAAAGGCTAGAACACAGACGTGGTCTTATACTCAAGGAACTTATAACTTGGTTGGGTAGACAAAACTTAGGAAATAACAAAAGCACATTATAATAACTATAACTATAATATAATAACTATATTATAACTATAATATAATATCTATAACTATAATATATTATAGCTATAATATATTATCTATATTATAGTATAACTATAATAATATAATATAACTATAATATTATACTATTATAACTATAATATAACTATAATAATGTAACATAACTATAATATAATATAACTTTAATAATATAATATTACAACTATATTATAATATTATAACTATAATATAACTATATTATAATATAACTATAATATATTATAACTATAATAATATAACTATAATAATATAACTAATATAACTATTATATTATAACTATAATATTATAATATAACTATAATAATATATTATAATGTATTATATATAATATATATTACAATAATATATATTATATATAATAATATAATTATAATAATATAATAATAATATAATATAACAATATGATAATATAATTATATATTATATATTATATTAATAATATAATAATTATATATTATATTAATAATATAACTATAATAATATAACATTATTATATAACTATAATATAACATTATATAACTATAATATAACATTATATAACTATAATAATATAACATTATATAACTATAATAATATAACATTATAATATAACTATAATAATATAACATTATAATATAACTATAATAATATAACATTATAATATAACTATAATAATATAACATTATTATATAACTAATAATATAACATTATTATATAACTAATAATATAACATTATTATATAACTAATATAACATTATATAACTATAATAACATTATTATATAACTATAATAACATAATATAACTATAATAACATAATATAACTATAATAACATAACATAATATAACTATAATAACATAACATTATAATATAACTATAATAATATAACATTATAATATAACTATAATAATATAACATTATATAACTATAATAATATAACATATAACTATAATAATATAGCATTATATAACTATAATAATATAACATATAACTATAATAATATAACATTATATAACTATAATATAACATTATATAACTATAATAATATAACATTATATAACTATAATGATATAACATTATTATATAACTATAATGATATAACATTATATAACTATAATGATATAACATTATATAGCTATAATGATATAACATTATTATATAGCTATAATGATATAACATTATTATATAGCTATAATGATATAACATTATATAGCTATAATGATATAACATTATTATATAGCTATAATGATATAACATTATTATATAGCTATAATGATATAACATTATTATATAGCTATAATGATATAACATTATTATATAGCTATAATGATATAACATTATTATATAGCTATAATGATATAACATTATTATATAGCTATAATGATATAACATTATTATATAGCTATAATGATATAACATTATTATATAGCTATAATAATATAACTATTATAACTATAATAATATAACAACTATATTATAACTATAACAACTATATTATAGTAACAACTATATTATAACTATAATAATATAACAACTGTATTATAACTATAGTAATATAATAACTATATTATTATAATGTGACTTTCGTTATAGAAAAGACCAAGTGTTTTCGGAATGAGGGGAAAAAAGGTCATCATGAGCTAGAAAACCTGGGAAGGATTCACCGAAGAGGTAAAATTGAATTAGGACTTTACAGGTATGTAGATTGTAAAATTTTCAAGTGTAAGATTGATGCTTTTTTAGCCTTTCATGTTTTAATTACCTAACTAGTTGCTAGTCTTTAGTAGGATTGCATTAAACAATTATTGACTTAATAGAATTTAACTGAATTGGTAAAGGAGACAGAGCTCTCTAGATAGGGGGACTAATATGATCAAAAGAAAAATGCAGTCACATGTTTACTATTAATAAGTGTAGAGGAAGTTAAAGAATAGACCTAACTGCAATGAAGAATAATACCAGGAAATTGAGTTTAACAGATATGATAGGACTGATTTATAGAGGATCGTGAAGTGTTTTGACTTGGTTTTACAGAACTTGTATTTTAATGTCAGAGTTTCAAGAGAAAAGAAATGACTAGGAAAATTAAACTGACAATACAGCCAGAGTTAGGAGAAATTAAGAGTTGGATAAACCAATTAGGAGTCAATTGCAGTGGTCCAAGTGTGTAATGATATGTTCCAGGTGATAACAACTGATTGTCTTGTGGTTTCATACTGCTGACACCTAAAATTGGAAAAATATATCTTGTTTAAAAGAAATACATTTGATTGAACATCATCTGAGTATAAGGTAAAAGGAGAAAGGAACCGGAGTTGTTCGTGTTTGAATATCATAGCTCATCCAACTAGTGGAGGCATATGCAGTGTTTCGAATACAAATCACAAAAATAACTTTGTGTAATCAAATAGCCTTATAAAGATAACTTTTAAAAGATAATTATTACCCTAGAGATAAATCAAATCTTCTATCATCTTTAAAATAGGAATTTGTTCCCACTTCTATTCAATGAGTTTTCAGAAATAAGGGGTCTAGTCCCAGAGCTCTTTGTTAAATTTAGAAGAAAAATAGACACTGCATATCTAATTTTGTTTAAGTCCAAAAAATCTATTTTAATATGGTTAGATGAATTTTTTCTCTGTGATTAGAAGAGGTATTCTAAGAATATAAGAGTAATACTCCAAAATCAGTTAAGACTCTTGATTTATTGTCACAAGAGGTATATGTATAAGCAGACAGTGGTTCCTGGAGTATAACTGCTTCTCAGTGGACAGGCCTAGGATCTGTCAGTAGACAAAGCTAGGAAATACATGTATGTATACTATATCTATATACATGTTTGTTGGTGTATCTAACTACTGAAAACAAAACACGAGTTTATACTGGTAACTCCAGCAACAAGAGGCTCATCTAGTATTCCCCTTTTGTTTATTTGTAACTGCTTTCTCTGACAGTGAGAAACCTGGCTGTCATTAACTACAATTTATTTGCTTTCTTTTTCAGTCCTCGTATACATGTAAAGTTATTTCTAAATTGGTAACCCAGACGCTGTGATAAACAAATTTATTAACTAGAGTATGTTAGTTTTCTGTGACTGCTGTAGCAAATTACTATAGCCTTTTTGGGTTGAAGCAATAGGAATTCATTCTCTCATAGATCCAGAGGCCAGGCATCCAAAATTGGTGTTACAGGTCAAAAATCAAGGTGTGAGCAGGATCATACTTTCGATGCTCTAGGGAAGGATCCATTCCTTTCTTCTTTAAGCTTTTGGTGCCTGCTGGCATTTCTTGGCTTGTAGCTACATCACTCCAATTTTCAAAGCCAGTCAGTATTCTACAGAGAAATAGAACCAATAGTATCTATCTATAGTATCTATCTATCTATCTATCTATCTATCTATCTATCTATCTGTCTATCTATATCTAATCTATCCATCCATTCATCTAGATTTATTTTAAGGAATTGGTTGTTAAGATTGTAGAGGTGGCAAGTCTGAAATCTGTAGGACAAGCTGGCAGGCTAGAAATTCAGGTAAGAGTTGATGTTTCAGTTGAGTTCAATATCAACAGAGCAGACTAGGGAGGCCGGGAACTCAGGCAGGGTTTCTGTGTTGCAGTCTCAAGGTCAAATTCACTCTTTAGGAAACTTCAGTCTTTGCTCCTAAGGCCTTCAACTAATTGAATGCAGCCTACCCACATTATGGAGAGTTCTGCTTTACCCAAAGTCTACTGACTTAATCATATCTAAAAAATACTTTTGCATCAACATCTAGAATGGTGTTTCACCAAACAACTGGGTACCATATCCTATCCAAATTGACATAAAATTAACCACCATAGCCAGCATCTTCAAATTTCTCTTTGACCCGCCTTCACACGGCCTTCCCTTAGTGTGTGAAATCTCTCCCACTGCCTCCCTTTTATAAGCATACATGTGATTGCATTTAGGGTCCATCTGGATGGATAATTCAGATAATCTCCCCATTTCAAGACTTTGACTTAGTCACATCCACAAAGCCTCATTTTTTTTTCCATATAGGTAACAATCACAGATTCCAGGGATTAGGTCATGGAAATCTTCTGGGGGGCCATTTCCAGTCTATTACATAAGGTATAGTGTTTGTGTGTTTTCTTTATCCAGTTACAGCAATATTTTCCAAAGTTACTTAAGTTAGCTCCTATCTTCTATACCCCCTTACATTTGATTGTGTCATTCATTTGTAACATGGATTCATTTGTGGCCATCTACATTCCATCTTGGGTTTATCTGAATTACTGCTTGGTTTAAAAAAAATTGTATACAGTAAAATTCCTTCTGTAAACCAAAAGTAAAATTCAAAGCCCCCCACCCATCTGAATGGATCCTTCCTATCATCAAGGACTTTCCAAAATTAACCTGAAAAACTAATTTAGGCCATGATGGGAAGGGAGAGCCAGACATGACTCATTATACTCTCCTCCCTTTTGGAATTACTGGTAGAACAGGCTCTTTAAGTCTGATAAGAAACATTTACAATCTATTCTCTGAAGCCTGCTATCTGGAGTCTTTATCTGCATGATAAAATTTTGGTCTCCATAACCCTTATCATAACCAAACATCCTATTGATAATAACTCTTTCATCCAATTGCCAATCAGAAAATCTTTGAATCTGCCTACGACCTGGAAGCAACCCCAGCCTCTGCTTCCAGTTGTCTCGCCTTTCTGGACCAAAGAAATGTTCATCTTACATGTATTGATTGATGCCTTATGTCTCCCTAAAATGTATAAAACCAAGTTATGGCCTGACCACCTTGGGCACATGTTCTGAGGATCTCCTGAGGGCTATGTTATGGGCCATTGATTACTCATATTTAGCTCAGAATAAATCTCTTCAAATATTTTACAGTTTGATTCTTTTTATTGACACTTTGTGATGTGCAAGTCTATGGGTTTTGACAAATAGAACCATGTATCTACCATCATAGCACCATATAGAACAGTTCCATCATACCCCAAATTCCCTAGCATTGACTTTTGTAGTCAATCCCTTCCCCTACTTCCAAAGCCTGGAAACCAAAGATTTGTTTTCTATTCCTGTAGCTTTGTCTTTTCCAGAATGTTATATAAATAGAAACATGCAATATTTTTTATATTAAATGCCAATTATTCATAACCAGTATATAGAAATACAGTTGATTTTTATATACCAACTGTGATCATGCTGAACTCAGGAGGTGTAGTAGCTTTTTTTGTAGAATCTTTGGGATTTTCTATATAAGCAATCATGTTGCTTACAAATAGAGACAGTTTCATTCCTTCATTTCCAATATGCCTTCATGAATATATTCAAAATAAGCTACAAGGTTACAGTAATAAAAACAACATGGTATTTGTATAAAAACAAACACATAGACCAATGAAACAGAATAAAGAACCCAGAAATAAATCCACATATTTACACCCAATTGATTTGGGACAAAGGTGTCAAGAACATACACTGGGGAAAGGACACCCTCTTCAATAAACGATGCTGGGAAAATTGGATATCTAAATGCAAAAGAATGAAACTGAGCCCCTACTTGTCACCATTTGCAAAAATCAACTCAAGATGGATTAAAGACTTAATGTAACACCTAAAACTGTAAAACTACTAAAAGAAAACAGGGGAAACACTTCAGAAGGTTGGTCTAGACAAAGATTTTGTAGCTATAACCTCAAAAGCACAGGCAACCGAAATGTAAATAGACAAATGAGACTATATTAAGCTGAAAAAGCATCTGCATGGTAAAGGAAACAATAAACAGAGTGAAGAGGCAACCTGTTGAATGAGAGAAAATATTTGCAAACTGTTCATCTGACAAGGGACTAATATCCAGGATATACAAGGAACTCTACAGGAAAAAAATCCCATTAAAAGGTGAGCTAAGGACACACACAAATGTCTATTTCCATTTCTCAGAAGAAGACATACAAAAGGCCAACAGATACATGAAAAAAATGTTCAACATAAATTATCATCAGGGAAATGCAAATCAAAACCACAATGACGTATCATCTTTCTCCAGTTAGAATGGCTATTACTAAAAAGACAGAAAATTACAGTGAGGTTGTGGAGAAAAGTTAACTCTTATACACTGTTGGTGGGAATGTAAATTAGTACAGTCATTCCGGAAAACAGTATGGAAGTTCCTCGAAAAACTGAAAATAGAGCTACCGTATGATCCAGCAATCCCACTATTGGGTATTTATCCAAAGGAAAAGAAATTTGTGTATCAAAATTTGCATATCTACCTGCACTAGAATGTTTATCACAGCATTCTATATATTTACAATGTGATATGAATATCACAGTATTCATATATTTACAATGGCAAATATATGGAATCAAGCTAAGTGTCCATAAGTGGATAAATAAAATGTGGTATATAGACATAATGGAATACTAATTGGCTATAAAAAATAATGAAATCTTGTGATTTGCAGTAACATGGATGGAACTAGATTATTATGCTAAGTGAAATAAGCCAGGCCTGGAAAGACAGATACTGCATGTTCTCACTCATATATGAGAAAAATTGATCTCATGGAGATGGAGAATAAAATGGTAGATATCAGAGGCTGAGAAGAGTGTGTAGGTAGGAGGTGGGGATAAAGGGAGTTTAGGAGGCGAGGATAAAGGGAGGTTAATTTAGTGGATATAAACATATAGTTAGATAGAAGAAATAATCCCCAATTATCAATAGCAGAGTAGGGTGACTATAGTTAGCAACAACGTATTATATATTTCAAAGAAGCTAGAAGAGAGGACCTGAAATGTGTTCCTAACACACAGAAATGATAAGTACTCAAGATAATACCATAAATACATGGACTTGATCAGCACACATTGTATGCATGTAACAAGATATCACATGTACCCCATAAATATGTACAAATATTATATGTCAATAAAAGTATTTTAAAAAGTTTGACTAGGTATAAATTTTTCAGCCAGTTTTAATTAATTAACAAAAGTTATATATATTTATGGTGTAAAACATGATATTTGAAATATGTATATATTGTGGAACCACTAAAACAAGCTATTTAGCATATGCATTATCTCACACACTTATCTTTTTTTGTGGTTAGAATGCTTAAAATCTACTCTTCACAGTTTTCAAATATAAGATACATTGTTATTAACTGTAGTCATCATGTTATACACTAGATCTCTTGAACTTATTTCTCCTGTCTAACTAAAATTTTGTATTTTTTTACCAATATCTCCCCAACTCCCACCCCTCCAATCTACTGTCTGCTTCTATGAGTTAAACTTTTTCAGATTCCACGTATAAGTGAGATTGTGCAGTATTTGTCTTTCTGTGCCTGAATTATTTCACTTAACAGAATATCCTCGAGAGGGTGGAGCCAAGATGACCAAATAGGAACAGCTCCAGTCTACAGCTCCCAGTGTGAGCAAAGCAGAAGATGAACAATTTCTGCATTTCCAACTGAGGTACTGGGTGCGTCTCACTGGGGATTGTTGGACAGTGGGTGCAGGACAGTGGGTGCAGTGCACCGAGCCTGAGCCAAAGCAGGGCGAGGCATCGCCTCACCCAGGAAGCATAAGGGGTTGGGGAATTCCCTTTCCTAGCCAAGGAAAGGGGTGATGGATGGCACCTGGAAAATCAGGTCACTCCCACCCTAATACTGTGCTTTTCTGATGGTCTTAGCAAACGGCACACCAGGAGATTATATCCCGCGCCTGGCTCAGAGGGTCCCACGCCCACGAAGCCTTGCACATTGCTAGCACAGCAGTCTGAGATCAAACTGCAAGGCAGCAGTGAGGCTGGGGGAGGGGTGCCCGCCATTGCTGAGGCTTGAGCAGGTAAACAAAGCGGCCTGGAAGCTCGAACTGGGTGGAACCCACCGCAGCTCAAGGAGGCCTGCCTGCCTCTGTAGACTCCACCTCTAGGGGCAGGGCATAGCCAAACAAAAGGCAGCAGAAACCTGTGCAGACTTAAATGTCCCTGTCTGACAGCTTAGAAGAGAGTAGTGGTTCTCCCAGCACGCAGCCGGAGATCCGAGAATGGACAGACTGCCTCCTCAAGTGGGTCCCTGACCCCCGAGTAGCCTAACTGGGAGGCACCCCCCGTAGGGGCAGACTGACACCTCACATGGCCGGGTACTCCTCTGAGACAAAACTTCCAGAGGAACGATCAGGCAGCAACATTTGATGTTCACCAATATCCACTGTTCTGCAGCCTCCCCTGCTGATACCCAGGCAAACAGCATCTGGAGTGGACCTCCGGCAAACTCCAACAGACCTGCAGCTGAAGGTCCTGACTGTTAGAAGGAAAACTAACAAACAGAAAGGACATCCACACCAAAACCCCATCTGTATGTCACCATCATCAAAGACCAAAGGTAGGTAAAACCACAAAGATGGGGAAAAAACAGAGCAGAAAAACTGAAAATTCTAAAAATCAGAGCACCTCTCCTCCTCCAAAGGAACGCACCTCCTCACCAGCAATGGAACAAAGCTGGATGGAGAATGACTTTGACGAGTTGAGAGAAGAAGGCTTCAGACGATCAAACTACTCTGAGCCAAAGGAGAAAGTTCGAACCCATGGCAAAGAAGTTAAAAACCTTGAAAAAAGATGAGACGAATGGCTAACTAGAATAACCAATGCAGAGAAGTCCCTGATGGAGCTGAAAACCACAGCACGAGAACTACATGATGAATGCACAAGCCTCAGTAGCTGATTCAATCAACTGGAAGAAAGCGTATCAGTGATGGAAGATCAAATGAATGAAATGAAGCAAGAAGAAAAGTTTAGAGAAAAAAAAAAAGAAACGAACAAAGCCTCCAAGAAATATGGGACTATGTGAAAAGACCAAATCTGTGTCTGATTGGTGTACCTGAAAGTGACAGGGAGAATGGAACCAAGTTGGAAAACACTCTGCAGGATATTATCCAGGAGAACTTCCCCAATATAGCAAGGCAGGCCAACATTCAAATTCAGGAAATACAGAGAACGCCACAAAGATACTCCTCGAGAAGAGCAACTCCAAGATACATAATTGTCAGATTCACCAAGGTTGAAATGAAGGAAAAAATGTTAAGGGCAGCCAGAGAGAAAGATCGGGTTACCCACAAAGGGAAGCCCATCAGACTAACAGCTGATCTCTTGGCAGAAACTCTACAAGCCAGAAGAGAGTGGGGGCCAATATTCAGCATTCTTAAAAGAATTTTCAACCCAGAATTTCATATCCAGCCAAACTAAGCTTCATAAGTGAAGGAGAAATAAAATCCTTTACAGACAAGCAAATGCTGAGAGATTTTGTCACCACCAGGCCTGCCCTACAAGAGCTCCTGAAGAAAGCACTAAACATGGAAAGGAACAACCGGTACCAGCCACTGCAAAAACATGCCGCATTGTAAAGGCCATCTAGGCTAGGAAGAAACTGCATCAACTAATGAGCAAAATAACCAGCTAACATCATGATGACAGGATCAAATTCACACATAAGAATATTAACCTGGCCGGGCGCAGTGGCTCATGCCTGTAATCCCAGCACTTTGGGAGGCCGAGGCGGGCGGATCACGAGGTCAGGAGATCGAGACCATCCCGGCTAAAACGGTGAAACCCCGTCTCTACTAAAAATACAAAAAATTAGCCGGGCGTAGTGGCGGGCGCCTGTAGTCCCAGCTACTTGGGAGGCTGAGGCAGGAGAATGGCGTGAACCCGGGAGGCGGAGCTTGCAGTGAGCCGAGATCCCGCCACTGCACTCCAGCCTGGGCGACAGAGCGAGACTCCGTCTCAAAAAAAAAAAAAAAAAAAAAAGAATATTAACCTTAAATGTAAATGGGCTAAATGCTCCAATTAAAAGACACAGACTGGCAAATTGGATGAAGAGTCAAGACCCATCAGTGTGCTGTATTCAAGAAACCCATCTCACATGCAAAGGCACACATAGGCTCAAAATAAAGGAGGGGGGGAAGATCTACCAAGCAAACGGAAAACAAAAAAGGCAGGGGTTGCAATCCTAGTCTCTGATAAAACAGACTTTAAACCAACAAAAATCAAAAGAGACAAAGAAGGCCATTACATAATGGTAAAGGGATCAATTCAACAAGAAGAGCTAACTATCTTACATATATATGCACCCAATACAGGAGCACCCAGATTCATAAACTAAGTGCTTAGAGACCTAGAAACAGACTTAGACTCCCACACAATAATAATGGGAGACTTTAACACCCCACTGTCAACATTAGACAGATCAATGAGACAGAAAGTTAACAAGGATATCCAGGAATTGAACTCAGCTCTGCACCAAGCGGACCTAATAGACATCTACAGATCTCTCCACCCCAAATCAACAGAATATTCATTCTTTTCAGCACCACACCACACCTATTCCAAAATTGACCACACAGTTGGAAGTAAAGTACTCCGCAGCAAATGTAAAAGAACAGAAATTATAACAAACTGTCTCTCAGACCACAGTGCAATCAAACTAGAACTCAGGATTAAGAAACTCACTCAAAACCTCTCAACTACATGGAAACTGAACAGCCTGCTCCTGAATGACTACTGGGTACATAATGAAATGAAGGCAGAAATAAATATGTTCTTTGAAACCAACGAGAACAAAGAGACAACATACCAGAATCTCTGGGACACATTCAAAGCAGTGTGTAGAGGGAAATTTATAGCACTAAGTGCCCACAAGAGAAAGCAGGAAAGATATAAAATTGACACCCTAACAACAGAATTAAAAGAACTAGAGAAGCAAGAGCAAACACATTCAAAAGCTAGCAGAAGGCAAGAAACAACTAAGATCAGAGCAGAACTGAAGGAAATAGAGACACAAAAAAACCCTTCAAAAAATCAATGAATCCAGGAGCTGGTTCTTCGAAAAGATAAACAAAATTGATAGACCACTAGCAAGACTAATAAAGAAGAAAAGAGAGAAGAATCAAATAGATGCAATAAAAAATGATAAAGGGGATATCACCACAAATCCCACAGAAATACAAACTACCATCGGAGCATACTATAAACACCTCTACACAAATAAACTAGAAAATCTGGAAGAAATGGATAAATTCCTGGACACATACACCCTCCCAAGACTAAACCAGGAAGAAGTTGAATCTCTGAATGGACCAATAACAGGCTCTGAAATTGAGGCAATAATTAATAGCTTACCAACCAAAAAAAAGTCTGGGACCAGATGGATTCACAGCCGAATTCTACCAGAGGTACAAGGAGGAGCTGGTACCATTCCTTCTGAAACTATTCCAATCAATAGAAAAAGAAGGAATCCTCCTTAACTCATTTTATGAGGCCAGCATCATCCTGATACCAAAGCCGGGCAGAGACACAACAAAAAAAGAGAATTTTAGACCAATATCCCTAATGAACATCCATGCAAAAATCCTCAATAAAATACTGGCAAACCGAATCCAGCAGCACATCAAAAAGCTTATCCACCATGATCAAGTGGACTTCATCCGTGGGATGCAAGGCTGGTTCAATATACGCAAATCAATAAATGTAATCCAGCATCTCAACAGAACCAACGACAAAAACCACATGATTATCTCAATAGATGCAGAAAAGGCCTTTGACAAAATTCAACAGCCCTTCATGCTAAAAACTCTCAATAAATTAAGTATTGATGGGACATATCTCAAAATAATAAGAGCTATTTATGACAAACCCACAGCCAATATAATACTGAATGGGCAAAAACTGGAAGCATTCCCTTTGAAAACTGGCACAAGACAGGGATGCCCTCTCTCACCACTCCTATTCAACATAGTGTTGGAAGTTCTGGCCAGGGCAATCAGGCAGGAGAAGGAAATAAAGGGTATTCAATTAGGAAAAGAGGAAGTCAAATTGTCCCTGTTTGCAGATGACATGATTGTATATCAGAAAACCCCATTGTCTCAGCCCAAAATCTCCTTAAGCTGATAAGCAACTTCAGCAAAGTCTCAGAATACAAAATCAATGTACAAAAATCACAAGCATTCTTATACACTAATAACAGACAGAGAGCCAAATCATGAATGATCTCCCATTCACAATTGCTTCAAAGAGAATAAAATACCTAGGAATCCAACTTAGAAGGGATGTGAAGGACCTCTTCAATGAGAACTACAAACCACTGCTCAATGAAATAAGAGAGGATACAAACAAATGGAAGAACATTCCATGCTCATGGGTAGGAAGAATCAATATCGTGAAAATGGCCATACTGCCCAAGGTAATTTATAGATTCAATGCCATCCCCATCAAGCTACCAAAGACTTTCGTCACAGAATTGGAAAAAACTACTTTAAAGTTCATATGGAACCACAAAAGAGCCCACATTGCCAAGTCAATCCTAAGCCAAAAGAACAAAGCTGGAGGCATCCCACTACCTGACTTCAAACTATACTACAAGGCTACAGTAACCAAAACAGCATGGTACTGGTACCAAAACAGAGATATAGACCAATGGAACAGAACAGAGCCCTCAGAAATAATGCCACGTATCTACAACTATCTGATCTTTGACAACCCTGACAAAAACAAGCAATGGGGAAAGGATTCCCTATTTAATAAATGCTACTGGGAAAACTGGCTAACCATAGGTAGAAAGCTGAAACTGGATCCCTTCCTTACACTTTATACTAAAATTAATTCAAGATGGATTAAAGATTTAAATGTTAGACCTAAAACCATAAAAACCCTAGAAGAAAACCTAGGCAATACCATTCAGGACATAGGCATGGGCAAGGACTTCATGTCTAAAACACCAAAAGCCATGGCAACAAAAGCAAAAATTGACAATTGGGATCTAATTAAAGTAAAGAGCTTGTGCACAGCAAAAGAAACTACCATCAGAGTGAACAGGCAACCTACAGAATGGGAGAAAATTTTTGCAATCTACTCCTCTGACAAAGGGCTAATATCCAGAATCTACAATGAACTCAAACAAATTTACAAGAAAAAAACAAAAAACCCCATCAACAAGTGGATGAAGGATATGAACAGACACTTCCCAAAAGAAGACATTTATGCAGCCAAAAAACACATGAAAAAATGCTCATCATCACTGGCCATCAGAGAAATGCAAATCAAAACCATAGTGAGATACCATCTCACACCAGTTAGAATGGCGATCATTAAAATGTCAGGAAACAACAGGTGCTGGAGAGGATGTGGAGAAATATGAACACTTTTACACTGTTGGTGGGACTGTAAACTAGTTCAACCATTGTGGAAGTCAGTGTGATGATTCCTCAGGGATCTAGAACTAGAAATACCATTTGACCCAGCAATCCCATTACTGGGTATATACCCAAAGGATTATAAATCATGCTCCTATAAAGACACATGCACACATATGTTTATTGCGGCACTATTCACAATAGCAAAGACTTGGAACCAACCCAAATGTCCAACAATGATAGACTGGATTAAGAAAATGTGGCACATATACATCATGGAGTACTATGCAGCCATAAAAAAGGATGAGTTCATGTCCTTTGTAGGGACATGGATGAAGCTGGAAACCATCATTCTCAGCAAACTATTGCAAGGACAAAAAACCAAACACTGCATGTTCTCACTCATAGGTGGGAATTGAACAATGAGAACACATGGACACAGGATGGGGAATATCACACACCGGAGCCTGTTGTGGGGTGCGTGGATAGGGGAGGGATAGCATTAGGAGATATACCTAATGCTAAGTGACGAGTTAATGGGTGCAGCATACCAACATGGCACATGTATACATATGTAACAAACCTGCACATTGTGCACATGTACCCTAAAACTTAAAGTATAATAATAAAAAAAGAGAATATCCTCCAGATTCATTCATGTTGTTGCAAATGACAGAATTCTCTTCTAAGGCTGAATAATATTTATTGTATATATAAATTTAAATGTATATATAAATATATATAATTATATATAATACATATATCACATATTCTTTATTCATCTCCTAAAGGACAGTTAGGTTGATTCCATATCTTGGCTTTTGTGAATAATGCTACAATGAACGTGGAAGTGGCCATTATCTCTTCTACATACTCATTTCTTGTGTTTTGGATATATACCCAGTAGTGTGATTGCTGGGTGATATGGTAGTTCTATTTTTAATTTTCTGAGAAATCTTCATACTGTTTTTCATAATGGCTATACTAATTAACATTCCCACCTACAGTTCCCTTTTCGTCATATCCCCCAAAACACTTATCTTTCGTCTTTTTTCATAATAGCCATTCTAACAGGTATGAGCTGATCTCTCATTTTGTTTTTAATTTGCATTTTCCTGACGAATAGGGATGTTGAGCATTTTTTCATATACCTGTTGGCTATTTGTATATCTTCTTTTGAGAAACATCTATTCAAGCCCCTTTGTTCATATTTTTTTAAGTTAAACAGGTATACACATTTTTAACAGTTGTTTTTGAAAAGTGGGTATATAAGGGAGTCAAGGTAGAGGATATATTCAGGGGCTGGCTAACCTTCTTGTACTTCTCAGTTGCTCTCCAGATCCTAATATTTCCCTGCCATTTCACACCAAACACATGCTGCTGCCACTGCCAGGGTAAGATAAAAGGACACGCCTAAAAACTTATCCCAATGCTGGCTCCCCAGAACAGTGCCGTGATAGTTAATTTTATGTCAACTTGACTGGGCCTTGGGGTACTCATTATTCTAAGTGTGTGTTTCTGAATGAGATTAACATTTGAATTGGGAGACTGAGGAAAACAGATTGCCCTCTCCAATGTGACTGGAACTCATGCAATTCATTGAAGGCCTAGATAGAACAAAAAGGCTGAATAAAGGCGAATTCCCTCTCTCTGCCTGACTGTCTTCAAGATGAGACACTGGTCTTCTGCTTTCGGGCGTGGAGTTGAACTGGAACTTACACCATTGGCCCTCCTAGTTCTTAGGCCTTTGGATTCAAACAGAATCTGTACCACTATGTCTCCTGAGCCATTTCCTTATAATAAATCTCTTTATATATCTATATCATCTATATCTATTTCCAATTGGTTCTATTTCTCTGGAGAACCCTGACAGAGTTGTTCAGCTGTGATGGTTTCTCACAGTATTTATATTAGTTTGACAGATACTTCAAACTTTTTCTAGCTTTTGTGATGTCTTTAGATTTGGGTTTGAGGAGAAAGACAATACTCCATGCTTGTGCTCTCTTTGTTTTATGCTGTTACTCAGTTTTTGTATTTTTTTAGAGATAACCTTTGAAAATTATTGGAAATTTCATAAAATCTGGGATAATTATATATGCTGCATTCCTGGCATCCACTTTCTAACCATTATTTTCTTATATAGTCAGCACACTTGAATTATCTATTCAACAAGATAATTTTCTTTTAGACTTAGAGAATAAAATATTTGGGAAAGAGTTAGGGAATATTTGCCTTCTTTCCAAAAGAACTAATCTCATAATTCTACATATTAATTTGTTGAACAAGGTTAAATACAATTTTTTTTTTCTTTTTTGGAGAAGGGGTTTTGCTCTTGTCTCCCTGGCTGGAGTGCAGTGGCACAATCTTGGCTCACTGCAACCTCCACCTCCCGGGTTCCAGCAATTCTCCTGCTTCAGCCTCTTGAGTGGCTGGGATTACAGGCGCCTGCCATCACACCCAGCTAATTTTTGTATTTTTAGTAGAGATGGGTTTTCACTATGTCGGCCAGGCTTGTTTTGAACTCCTGACCTCAGGTGATCCTCCCATCTCGGCCTCCCGAAGTGCTGGGATTATAGGCCTGAGCCACCATGCCCAGCCTAAATACAAATTTTAAGGGAAACACAAACATAAAACTTAAAGAAATGTGGACCAGGGCTGAATAAGATGCTCTATAAAACAAGAAATATATTTTTTAAAATAATTTTTATTTTTTTCAGCTTTATTGAGCCAAAATTTACAAAAATTATATATATTTTTGATACACAATGTGATGTGTTGATATACATATGCATTGTGAAATGATTACCACAATCAAGCTAACATCTCCATCACCTCACATATTTGCCTTTTTTAAATGGTGAAAATCTTTAAGGTCTACACTTTTAGCATATTTCAAGTATACAATACAATATTATTAACTATAGTCACCATGCTGTATATTAGGTCTCCAGAATATATTAATCCTGCCTAACTGAAACTTTTTACCCTTTGACCAACATCTCCCATTCCCCCATGCCCCAGTCCCTGGCAATCATCATTTACTCTGTCCTATGAATTTGGCTTTTTTAGATTCCACATATATGTGAGATCATGCAGTATTTGTCTTTCTGTGCCTAGCTTATTTCACTTAACATAATGTCCACTGGGTTTATCTATGTTGTCAAAAATGCACAAATGACAGAAATTCCTCCTTTTTTAAAAAAAGAGACAAGATCTTGTTCTGTTGCCTAGGCTGAAGTGCAGTGGTACAATTGTAGCTCACTGTAACCTCAAACTCTTGGGCTCAAGCAATCCTCCCACCTCAGCTTCCCAAGTAGCTAGGACTACAGGTGGGTGCCATCATGCCTGCCTAATTTTTATTTCTTTGTACAGACAGGGTCTTGCTATGTTGCCCAGGCTGGTCTCAAACTCTGAGCCTCAGGTGGTCCTCTCACCTTCTTCTCCCAAAGTACTGGGATTACAGGCGTGAGCCACTGTGCCTGGCCAATTTTCTCCTTTTTAAGTGCTGAATAATGTCCATTGTGTGTGTGTATGTATCATATTTTCTTTATTTGTTCATCTGTTAATGGACATCTAGGTTGATTCCATATCTTGACTATTGTGAATAATGCTGCAATGAACATGAATAATGCTGCAAAGAACAGATACCTCTTTGACATACTGATTTTGTTTCTTTTGGACATATACCCAGAAGTGGGTTTGTTAGTTTATATGGTAGTTCTACTTGTAACTTTTTAAGGAACCTCCATACTGTTTTTTATAATCACTGTACCAAGTAACATTGCCATCAACAGTGTATACAAATTCCTTTTTCTCTGCATGCTTGCCAATATTTATTATTTTTTGTCTTTTTGATAATGGACATGCCGAAGCAGGCCTGACCTGCCTTGAACCTGGGGTTGTGAGTGCTGGGACAGACTTAGAGCCTGGATCTGCAAGGTTGGTTCTCAAACCAGAAGCTGCACAAGCTGGTCAGAGTATGGGGTGGGCCAGGAACCTAGGTTTGCAGGGACCAGCCTGGCACTGGGGTTCACTGGAGTGAGCTTGGTGCTGGGGTTTTCAGTAAAGTTGGGTGCTCATACACTCTTCTCTCACGCAGAAGGATCTCCCTCTGTGCTGTGAAACTTGGGCTGGGAGAGAGGTGGCATGGGCAAAGTAAAACTGTCCTTCCTACCTCCTTTAATGCATCTTTTTTTCATTTCTGTGGTTTACCCAGGTGCTGTCATCTCTCACCCAGATTCCTGAGCTCTTGTGAATCTATTTTCTTATGTAGATAGTTGTTCAAATTGATGATTCTGCAAGGGGATAAGCATTGGAAACTCCTGTGCTGCCATCTTGCTGGAAATACTTATCTTTGACACTGAAATTTAGGCAGCATTTTGAAACTCTTAGACTGAAGAAAGCTTATTTAAATTGGTTTTACTTTCTTAACAGTTCGAAACCATACTGTCACTATGCAGAAATCACTTGACTTGGTTATAGTTTACGTTTTATTCAGTATTAAGATATTAGGTACCTTAGTATTAGGTATTAAGGCAATTCACTATTTAATTGACTTTACTTTTATTCATAGTTCTGTTACATTTTTAACAGTGTAATTTATATTAAATTTAAACTCGGAATGAAATAACCCTCTACTTGAACATCATAGCTTTAAGGTACTTAAGCATAGTCAGACAATAAGATGTAAATGCTACTGACTAGAGCAGATTGGAATATGTAGATTTATATTATAAAAAGCAGTGATCTCTCTACTACCCTGCTGATTCAAGGTTATAAATTATTTTTGGTGGATGGAAAATATAAAGATTAACTTTTTATTTATTCCAACTGTGTAGGTATTAGAATTTCAAGGGCCTGAATGTGTGACTGATTAGAGCTTGCATAACTGCTAAATGACCAGATAGTGCCAGTAATTTTGACATGATATTAAAATTTTAAAAGTAAAGTTTTTCTGGCCGGGCGCAGTGGCTCACGCCTGTAATCCCAGCACTTTGGGAGGCCGAGGCGGGCGGATCACAAGGTCAGGAGATCGAGACCATCCTGGCTAACACAGTGAAACCCTGTCTCTACAAAAAATACAAAAAATTAGCCGGGCGTGGCGGCCTGCGCCTGTAGTCCCAGCTGCTGGGGAGGCTGAGGCAGGAGAATGGCGTGAACCCGGGAGGCGGAGCTTGCAGCAAGCCAAGATCGCGCCGCTGCACTCCAGTCTGGGTGACAGAGCGAGACTCCGTCTCAAAAATAAAATAAAATAAAATAAAGTTTTTCTGCTATTTTGAAGGAATGAATGAAAAAGGGATGTGTAATTTAAAGATGGTAAACCTGACATGTTGATGCTTTCCCTTTGAATTTCAATTGCTGCCCTGTAACTTGCCTTAGAGGCTGAATGGCTCATTTAAAAACAATTTCCATTGCCTTGCTTTACGTTTGCTCTTGTTTTCTCCAAAGTTGACACAAGTCACATGCAATCAAATTTATATCCCTGGTGGACAGGCTTATCCTAATATCCTGTGACTCACACCCAGGTTGTTTGCAGCTCGGCAGTTCTGCTTCAAGACACATCACTTTTTATTTTTATAAAGCATTTTAAAATAATGCCATCATAGAATTTGTAATATACATTGGTAGTTGAAAAAATTAAAAAGCTAGTAGTACGTTGTTATATATAATGTGTATTCATTCAACTGTGTCAAAATATAAATATATAAAAAGATTGAAATGAAATGCCAAAATGTTAACTAATTTTTTTCTGTGTAAAAATTACTGTTTATATATATATTTTTTGGAATATAAACTATATACTAGATAATATTCTTGTATCAGTGTTAGATTTTTTACATGTGATAATGGTATTGTGTTTAAATAAGAGAGAATGTTTTTATTAGAAAATACATGTCTGCAACTTACTTTCAAATGGCTTTTTTGTTACTAACTTTAATCTTTTCCTTCATTTTAAAAATTGTGGTAAAATACACATAGAAAAATTTACCATCTTAGCCAATTTAAGTGCATAGTTTAATGGTATTAAATATATTCATAATGTGCAATCATCACCATCATCCATCTTCTTAATTCTTCATCTTGTAATACTGAAACTCTATGCCCATTAAACAATAACTCTCCATTCCTTGCTCTCCCCAGCCTCTGGCAACCACCATTCTACTTTCTATCTTTCTGATTTTAACCATGCTAAGTACCTCATATAAGTGGAATGATACATTATTTATCTTTTTGTGACTAGCTTATTTTACTCATAATGTTCTCAAGGTTCATCTATATTGTAGCATATGTCAGAAATTCATTCACTTTTAGAGATCAATAATATTCTATTGTAGCATATACCACATTTTGCTGATCCATTTAATTACTGATGGATGTTTGGGCTGTTTCTATCTCTTGTCTACTGTAGCTTGATTACTGTAGCTTTGTATTAAATTTTGAAATCAGGAAGTGTGAGTTTTCCAGGTTTGTTCACCTTTTTAAAGATTGTTTTGGCTATTTGGGAGTCCCTTGAGATTTTGTATGAATTTTAAGACAGCTTTCTCTATTTCTGCCCAAAAAAATAATAATTGGGATTTTAATAAGGATTGCATTGAATCTGTAGATCATTTTGAATAGTACTGACATCTTAATAGTAAGTCTTCCAAGAATATGGGATGTTTCCAATTTATTATATCTTCTACAATTCCTTTCAGCAATATTTTATAGTTTTCAGTGTATTAAGTGTAACCTCCTTGGTTAGGTTTATTTCTAAGTGTTTTATCCTTTTTGCTGCAAATGGAATTGTTGTCTTAATTTCCTTTTCGGATTGTTCATTGTAGTGTATAGAAATGCAACTGATTGGCCGGGCGCGGTGGCTCACGCCTGTAATCCCAGCACTTTGGGAGGCCGAGGCGGGCAGATCACGAGGTCAGGAGATCGAGACCATCCTGGCTAACAAGGTGAAACCCTGTCTCTACTAAAAAATAAAAAAAAAAAAATTAGCCAGGCGTGGTGGCGGGCACCTGTAGTCCCAGCTACTTGGGAGGCTGAGGCAGGAGAATGGCATGAACCCAGGAGGTGGAGCTTGCAGTGAGCCGAGATCGTGCCACTGCACTCCAGCCTGGGCGACAGAGCGAGACTCTGTCTCAAAAAAAAAAAAAAAGAAATGCAACTGATTTTTGCATGTTGTCTTTGTGTCCTGCTCCTTTGCTAAATTATATATTGGTCCTAACAGTATTTCTGGTAGAATCTTCAGGGTTTTCTACATATAAGATCATATCATCTGTGAACAGAGGTAATATTATTTTTTCCTTTTCAATTTGGATGCCTTTTGTTTCTTTTCCTTGTTTAATTGCTATGGCTAGAATTTTCAGTACTATGTTGAATAGAAGTGGTGAAAAGCATGTATCCTTGCCTTTATTTCTGATTGTAGAGGAGAAGCTTTTAGTATTTTACCACTAAGTGCATAATGATCCTTGTGGGCCTTTTATATATGCCTTTTATTATGTTGAGGTATTTTCATTTTATTCCTACTTTGTTGAGTATTATTTTTAATCATAAAAAGATGTAAAATCTTGTCAAATGCTTTTTCTACATTATTTGAGATGATCATGTGGTTTTTGTGCTTCCTTCTGTGAATGTGGTGTGTTACAACTGGCTGATTCTTACATGTTGAACTATCCTAGCATTCCAGGAATAAATCCCACTTGGTCATAGTGTATAATCCTTTTAATATGCTGCTGAATTCTATTTTGTTGAGGATATTTCCATCAATGTTCATAACGGATATTGGTCTATAGTTTTCTTGTATTGTCTTTGTCTGGCTTTGGTATCAGGGTAATTCTGGCCTTATAAAATGAGGTAAGTGCTTTCACAGTGTTTGGGGGAATGTAAGTTAGTTAAATCATTGTAAGACAGTGTGGTGATTCCTCAAAGATCTAGAAGTGGAAATATAATTTGACCCAGCAATGCCATTACTGGATATATACCCAAAGGAATAGAAATCATTCTATTATAAAGATACATGCACATGTATGTTCATCACAGCACTATTCACAATAGCAAAGACATGAAATCAACCCCAATGGCTATCAATGATAGATTGGATAAAGAAAATGTGGCACCTGTACACCATGGAATACTATGCCATTAAAAGGAACGAGATCATGTCCTTTGCAGGGACATGGATGGAGCTGTAAGCTGTTATCCTTAGCAAACTAATGCAGGAACAGAAAACCAAGCACTGCATGTTCTCACTTATAAGTGGGAGCTGAACTATGAGAACACATGGACACATCAGGGTGAACAACACACACTGGGGCCTGTCATGGGGGCAGGGGAAGGGAGAGCATCAGGAAAAATAGCTAATGGATGCTGGGCTTAATACTTAGGTGATGGGTTGATCTGTACAGCAAACTACCAGGGCACACATTTACCTATGTAACAAACCTACACACCCTGAACATGTACCCTAGAACTGAAAATAAAAGTTGATGAAAACTAAAAAACAAAAAAGTAAAATGAGTTAGGGAGTGTTCCATCCTCTTCAATTTTGGGGGGAAAGTTTGAAAAGGGTTGGCATTAGGTCTTCCTTAAATATTTGGTAGAATTAACCAGTGAAGTCATCAGGTCTAGGGCTGTTATTGTTGGGAGATTTTTTGATTACTGATTCAATTGCCCTACTAGTTATAGGTCTATTCAGATTTTTTATTTCTTCATGATTTAGTCTTAGTAGGTTTTCTGTTTTTAGGAAAATTTTCCTTTCATCTACATCAAACAATTTGTTGGTGTATAATTGTTCATAATAATACTGTCTTATAATCCTTTTTATTTCTATAGAATCAATAATTTCCCCACTTTCATTTATTTAAGTCATTTGAGTCTTTCTTTTTTTCTCAGTATGTCTAACTAAAGGTTTGTCAACTTTCTTGATTTTTTTAAAGAACCAACTTTTAGTTTGATTTTTCTCAATCATTTTTCTTTTCTTTATTTCATTGATCTGTGCTCCAATTTTTATTATTTCCTTCCTTCTGTTGGTTTTGGGTTTGTTTTCTTCTTATTTTTCCAGTTATTCAAGTTGAAAGCTATGTTGTTGACTTGAGCTCTTTCTTGTTTTTTAATGCAAGCATTTATTGGTATAAATCCCTTGCATTTTTTTCTTTGTGTCTCATAAGTTTTGGTACATTGTGTTTTCATTTTCATTTGTCTTTAATTATAATTTGTCTAATTTGTGTCTATATCTAATTTCATTTGTAATTTTTTTATCCATTGGTTAAAATGCAATTCTCATCAAAATACCATCATCATTCTTCACAGAACTAGAAAAAACAATCCTAAAATTCATATAGAACCATAAAGGAGTCTGCATAGCCAAAGCAAGACTAAGCAACAAGAACAAATCTAGGGGCATCGCATTACCTGACTTCAAACTATACAACAAGGCTATAGTTACCAAAACAGCTTGGTACTGGTAAAAAAATAGGCACACAGACCAATGGAACAGAATAGAGAACCCAGAAATAAAGCCAAATACTTACAGCCAAATGATCTTTGAGAAAGCAAACAAAAACACAAAGTGGAGAAAGGACACCTTATTCAACAAATGGTGCTGGGATAATTGGCAACCCACATGTAGAAAAATGAAATGGATCCTCATCTCTCACCTTACACAAAAATCAACTCAAGAGGGATCAAAGACTTAAATCTGAGACTTGAAACCATAAAAATTCTAGAAGATAGCATCGGAAAATTCTTCTAGACATTGGATTAGGCAAAGAGTTCATGATCAAGAACCCCAGTGCAAATGCAACAAAAATAAAGATAAACAGATGGGATTTAATTAAACTAAAAAGCTTCTGCACAGCAAAATAAATAATTAGCAGAGTAAACAGACAACCCAAAGAGTGGGAGAAAATCTTCACAAACTATGCATCCAACAAAGTCCTAATTGCCAGAATCTACAAGGAACTCAAACAAATTAGAAAGAAATAAACAAATAATCTTGTCAAATGGTGAGCTAAGGACATGAATTGACAGTTCTCAAAAGAAGACATAAAAATGGCCAAAAAACATGAAAATATGCTCAACATCACTAATTATCAGGAAAATGCAAATTAAAACCACGATGCAATATCATCTTACTCCTGAAAGAATGGCCATAATTTAAAAAATAAAAAATAATAGATGTTGGCATGGATGTGGTGAAAAGGGAACACTTTTACACTACTGGTGGGAATGTAAACTAGTACAACCACTATGGAAAACAGTATGGAGATTTCTTAAAGAACTAAAAGCAGAACTACCATTTGATCCAGCAATCCCACTACTGAGTATTTATCCAGAGGAAAAGAAATTGTTATGTAAAAAAGACACTTGCACACACGTGTTTATAGCAGCACAATTCTCAATTGCAAAAATATGGTACCAACCTAAATGTCCATTCACCAAAAAGTGGATAAAGAAAATGTGGTATGTATATGCCACGGAGTACTATTCAGCCATAAAAAGGAATGAAATAATGGCATTTGTGGCAACCTGGATGGAGTTAGAGACCATTATTTTAAGTGAAGTAATTCAGGAATGGAAAACCAAATATTGTATGTTCTTACTTATAAGTGGGAGCTAAGCTATGAGGACACAAAGGCATAAGAATGACAGAATGGACTTTGGGTACTTGGGGGGAAGGTTAGGCAGAGGGTAATGGATAAAAGACTACACATTGGGTATAGTGTACACTGCTCAGGTGATGGGTGCACCAACATTTCAGAAATCATCACTAAATAACGTATCCATGTAACAAAAACCACCTGTTCCGCAAATCTATTGAAATAAAATTAAAAAAATTTAAAACGTCAACACAAAGAAACTTATAAAGTAATCCAGGGAATGAAGGAAGAGATTAATATCTTAAAAAGACATCAATCGAGCTTCTGGAATTGAAAAACTCACTTGAGGAATTTCAAAATACAACTGAAAGCTTTATCAATAGACTGGACCAAGCAGAAGAAACAATTTTAGAGCTTGAAGACCATCTTTTGAACTACATTTGGCAAAAATAAAGAATAAAGAATTTTTGTAAATGAGCAGTCTTTGAGAAATATGGAATTATTTAAAGCAACCAAACATATGAATTATTGGCATTCTGAGAGAGGAGAAAAAGCAAATAATCTGGAAAATATATTTAAGAGAACAACCCAAGAAATCTTGCCCAATTTTGCTAGAGAGGTAGATATCAAGATACAAGAAATCCAGAGAACACTTGCGAGATATTATACAAAATGATCCTCACCAGGCATATAGTCACCAGACTGTCCAAGGTCAATGCTAAAGAAAAAATCTTAAAGGCCACTAGAGAAAAAGGGCAGATCACATACAAAGGGAATCTTATCAGGTTCACAGTGCACTTCTAAGCAGAAACTTTACAAGCCAGGGATCTTGGGGCCCTATTTTCTGCATTCTTAGAAAAGAAATTCCAACCAAGAATTTCACATCCTGCCAAACTAAGCTTCATAAGCAAAGGAGAAATGGAATCTTTTCCAGACAAGCAAGCACTAAAAATTTATTACTACTAGACCAGCCTTTCAAGAGATCTTTAAGGGAGTTCTAAACATGGAAAAAAAAGAATGATATTTGCTACCACAAAAATACACTTAAGTACATAGCCTACAGACCCTATAAAGCAACCAAATAATTGAAACTCTAAAGCAAACAGCTAAAAACTTCACAATAAGATCAAACCTCACCTATCAATATTAACCTTGAATATAAATGGTCTACACACTCCCACTTAAAAAGAGCAGAGTGGTAAATTGGATTTTTTAAAATGACCCATCTAGTCTTCTGTCTTCAAGAGACCCACCTCACACAATGACACTCATAGGCTCAAAGCAGAGGATTGGAGAAAGATCTACCATGCAAATGGAAAACAAAAAAAAAAAAAGCAGGGGTTGCTATTCTTTTATCAGATAAAACAGATTTTAAACCAACAACCGTAAAAATGGACAAAAACTACCATGTATTACATAATGATAATGAGTCCAATTCAAAAGGAATATTTAATTATCCTAAATATATATATGCATCCAACATTTGAGCACTCAGATTCACAAAACAATGTACTTTTAAACTTACGAAAAGACTTAGCCACACAATAATGGTGGGGGACTTCAACACCCCTGACAGCATTAGACAGATCATCAAGGCAGAAAACTAACAAAGATATCCTGGACTTAAACTTGACACTTGACCAATTCGGCCTAATAGACATCTACAGAATACTCCGTCCATCAACCACAGACTATACATTCTTCTCCTCTGCACATGGAACATACTTTATGATTAACCACATGTTCAGCCATAAAGCAAGTCTCAATATATTCAAAATGTTGGAAATTATACCAACCATACTCTCAGACCACAGTGGAATAAAAATAGAATTGATGCCAAGAAGATCTCTCAAAACTACACAATTACATGAAAATTAAACAACTTGATCCTGAGTGATTTTGGATAAATAACAAAATCAAGGCAGAAACTTAAAAATTCTTTGAAATAAATGAAAATAGAGACACAACATACCAAAATTTCTGGGATGCAGCAAAAGCTGTATTAAGAGGACAATTTATAATACTAAATGCCTGCCTCAAAAAGTTAGAAAGATCTAAAATTAATTATCTAACATGACACCTAGAGGAACTAGAAAAACAATAACAACCTAATTCGACAGTTAAAAGAAGAAAGGAAATAACTAAAATCAGAGTAGAATTGAATAAAACTGAGACCCAAAAATCCATACAAAGAATCAACAAAAGCAAAAGTTTGTTTTTTAAAAGAATAAACAAGATTGATAGACTGCTAGCTAGATTAACAATAAAAAAGAGAGAAGATATAAATAAAGCACAATCAGAAACAACAAAGGCGACAGATCCTACGGAAATACAAAAGATCCTCAGAGACTATTATGAATACCTCTACACATGCAAACTAGAAAATCTAGAGGAAATGGATAAATTTATGAAAACACACAACCTCCTAAGATTGAATCAGGAAGAAATTTATACCATGAACTGACCAATATCAAGTTCTGCAATTGAATCAGTAATAAAAAACCTCCCAACAAGAAAAAGCCCCAGACCAGATGGATTCACAGACAAATTCTACCAGACATACACCAAAGAGTTGGTACCAATTTTACTGAAACTATTTCAAAAAATCAAGGAGGACAGACTCCTCCTATATTAGTCCATTTCATGCTGCTATAAAGGAAAAATCATTACCAGGCACTACTAAAACACACTGAAGTACACAGGCCAATGGCACTATGAAGCAATTAGATAAACAAGTCTGCAAAATAACCAGCTAGCGTCATGATGACAGGATCAAATTCACACATAACAATATTAACCTTAAATGTAAATGGGCAAGATGCCCCAATTAAAAGACACAGAATGGCAAGCTGGATAAAAAGTTAAGACCCGTCTCATGTGCACAGACACACATAGGCTCAAAATAAAGGGATGGAGGAAAATTAACCAAGCAAATAGAAAGCAGAAAAAAGCAGAGGTTGCAATCCTAGTTTCTGACAAAACAGACTTTAAACCAATGAAGATCTAATAGGACAAAGAAGGGTATTACATAATGGTACAGGGTCCAATTCAGCAAGAAGAGCTAACTATCCTAAATATATATGCACCCTATACAGGAGCATCCAGATTCATAAAACAAGTTCTTAGAGACCTACAAAGATACTTAGACTCCCACACAATAATAGTGGGAGACTTAAAACTCACTGTAAATATTAGACCATCAAGATAGAAAATTAAGAAAGATATTCAGGACTTGAACTCAGCTCTGGATCAAGTGGACCTGATAGATATCTACAGAACTCTCCACCCCAAAACAACAGAATATACATTCTTCTTGGTGCCACATGGCACTTAACTCTAAATTGATCACATAATTGGAAGTAAAACACTCCACAGCAAAAGCAAAAGAACTGAAATCATAACAAACAGTCTCTCAGACCACAGCACAATTAAACTAGAACTGAAGATTAAGAAATTAACTCAAAAGCACACAACTGCATGGAAATTGAACAACCTGCTCCTGAAGGACTCCTGGGTAAATAATGAAATTAAGGCAGAAATCAAGAAGTTATTTGAAACTAAAGAGAACAAAGAGACAACATAGCTAATGGAGGGTTAACAGGGAAAATCTGGGACACAGCTAATGCAGTGTTAAGAGAGAAGTTTACAGCACTAAGTGCCCACATCAAAAAGCTAGAAAGATCTCAAATCGACATACTAACATCACAACTAAAAGAACTAGAGAACCAAGGGCAAAGAAACCCCAAAGCTAGCAGAAGACAATAAATAACCAAGATCAGAGCAGAACTGAAGGAAATAGAGACATGAAAAACCCTTGAAAAAATTTACAAATCCAGGAGCTGTTTTTCTGAAAAAATCAATAAAATAGATTTATTTCTAGCTAGATTAATAAAGAAGAAAAGAGCAAATAATCAAATAGACACAATAAAAAATGATAAAGGGGATATCACCACTGACCTCACAGAAGTACAAATAACCGTCAGAGAATACTACAAATACCTCTATGCAAATAAACTAGAAAATCTAGAAGAAATGGATAAATTCCTGGACACCTACACCTTCCCAAGACTGAATCAGGAAGAAGTTGAATCCCTGAATAGAACAATAACAGGGTTTGAAATTGAGGCAATAATTAATAGCCTACTAACTAAAAAAAGCCCAGGATCAGATGATTTACAGCTGAATTCTACCAGAGGTAGAAAGAGGAGCAGGTACTGCTTCTTCTGAAACTATTCCAAACAACTGAAAGGACAGACTCCTCCCTAACTCATTTTATGAAGCCAGCATCATCCTGATACCAAAACCTGGCAGAGATGTAACAAAAAGATGAAACTTCAGGGCAATATCCCTGATGAACATCGATGCAAAAATCCTCAATATAATACTGGCAAACTGAATCCAGCAGCACATCAAAAAGCTTATCCACCACAGTGAAGTCAGCTTCATCCCCAGGATGCAAGGCTGTTTCAACAGACACAAATCAGTGGATGTAATTCATCACCTAAACAGAACTAAAGACAAAAAACACATGATTATCTCATGGAAAAGGCCTTTGATAAAATTCAACATCCCTTCATGTTAAAAACTCAATAAACTAGGTATTGAAGGAACATACCTCCAAATAATAAGAGCCATTTGTTGCAAACCCACAGCCAGTATCATACTGAATGGGCAAAAGCTGGAAGCATTCCCCTTGAAAACTGGCACAAGACAAGGATGCCCTCTCTCACCACTCCTAGTCAACATAGTATTGGAAGTTCTGGCCAGGGCGGGCAATCAGGCAAGAGAAAGAAATAGAGGGTATTCAAATAGCAAGAGAGGAAGCCAGATTGTCTCTATTTGCAGATAACATAGAAAACCTCATCTTCTCAGCCCAAAAGCTTCTTAAGCTGATAAGCAACTTCAGCAAAGTCTCAGGATACAAAATCAATGGCAAAAATCACAAGCACTCCTATACACCAACAACAGACAGAGAGCCAAATCATGAATGAACTCCCATTCACAATTGCTACAAAGAGAATTAAATACCTAGGAATACAGTTAATAAGGGAAGTTAAGGACCTCTTCAAGAACTACAAACCACTGCTCAAGGAAATCAGAGAGGACACAAGCAAATGGGAAAACATTTCATGCTCACGGATAGGAACAATCAATATTGTGAAAATGGCCATACTGCCCAAAGTAATTTATAGACTCATTGCTATTCCCATCAAACTGCCATTGACATTCTTCACAAAATTAGAAAAAAACTATCTTAAAATTCATATGAAGCCAAAAAAGAGCCTGTATAGCCAAGGCAATCCTAAGCAAAAAGAACAAAGCTGGAGGTATCATGTTACCCAACTTCAAACTATACCACAAGGCTACAGTAACCCAATCAACATGATACTGATACAAAAACAGACACATAGACCAATGGAACAGAATAGAGAACTCAGAAATAAGATTGCACATCTGCAACCATATGATCTTCGACAAACCTGACAAAAACAAGCAATAGGGAAAGGATTTTCTAATAAATGCCCCTGGGAGAGAACAGGCTAGCCTGTTTTCTAGCTACATGCAGAAAATTGAAACTGGACCCCTTCCTTACATCTTATACAAAAATTAACTCAAGAGGATTAATGACTTAAGTGCAAAATCCAAAATTATGAAAACGCTGGAAGAAAATCTAAACAATACCATTCAGGACATAGGCACGGGCAAAGATTTCTTGACAAAGATGTCAAAAGCAATTGCAACAAAGGCAAAAATTGACAAATGGGATCAAAATTAAACTAATTTAAATTAAAATAATCAAACTAAAGAGCTTCTGCACAGCAAAAGAAACTATCATCAGAGTGAACAGACAACTTACAGAATGGGAGAAAACTTTTGCAATCTATCTATCTGACAAAGGTCTTATATCCAGAGTCTGCAAGGAACTTAAACAAATTTACAAGAAAAAACCAAACAACCTCATTAAAAAGTGGGCAAAAGACATGAACAGACACTTCTCAAAAAAAGACATTTATGCAGCCAACAAACGTGAAAAAAGCTCAACAACACTGATCATTAGAGAAATGCAAATCAAAACCACAGTGAGATACCATCTCACACCTGTCAGAATGGTGATTATTAAAAAGTCATGAAACAACAGGCGCTGGTGAGGCTGTGGAGAAATAGGATTGCTTTTACACTGTCGTGGGAATGTAAATTAGTTCAACCATTGTGGAAGACAGTGTGGAGATTCCTCAAAGACCTAGAAACAGAAATAACATTGACCCAGCAATCCCATTACTGGGTATATACCCAAAGGAATATAAATCATTCTATTATAAAGATACATGCACACATATGTTCATTGAAGCACTCTTCACGATAGCAAAGACATGGAATCAACCCAAATGCTCATATGCCCATTGATAATACACTGGATAAAGAAAAGGTACATATTTTCCATGGAATACGTTGCAGCCATAAAAAGAAATGAGATCATGTCCTTTGCAGGGGCATGGATGGAACTGGAAGCCATTATCCTACGCAAACTAATGCAGGAACAGAAAACCAAACACCGCATGCCCCTACTTATTAGTGTATGCTGAACAATGTGAACACGTAGACAGAGGGACGGGAACAACACACACTGAGGCCTGTTGGGGGTGTGAGGAGAAGGAGAGCATCAGAAAAAATAGCTAATGTGTACTGGGCATAATACCTAGGTGATGGGTTGATAGGTTAATTATATTTCTGTTTAATTAAGCTATCTGTTGGAGATACACTGATAAGTTACACTTCTTGTTTTATGTGGAAATATAGGAATAAAATATTTTGTTTCATACTCACAACTGTGTTTTTGAGTCCAGGTTGATTTTATGTATGAATAAATTCAAGTTCTTAGAGAGGTGCTACTATTGCTGTGGAGGATTAATTTTTGTTTTGATACACCTATCAACCCAGCACCTAGGTATTATCTAGGCACACCATGGCACACATTTACCTACATAACAAACCTGCACATTCTGCACATCCCGGAACTTAAATAAAATAAAATCATTGATGCATTCTCACTATAGAGACATATTTCAATTGTGAATTATGAAGGTTTTAAAACATAACCAATAGCAGTCTTCTTTGCTGAATTGTTTCTCTTCCTTTCTGTCTATTCTTGATAGAAGCAGAAAAATAAAAGGATCTCAGAAGTAAAAATGTGGCTGACTTAATAATAATTAATTCAAGAGAAAAATTTAAGGCTTACTATGTGGGAAATATAGGTAACGTACAAGACTTGTGTAAATATGTAACATGTTTTAGGTAATGGGCATAATATGGGCAAGGGTCCTGAGGCAGGAACTTGGAATTTCTAGGAGGTAGAAGTCAATGTGGCAAGAATATGATGAATAAGGGAGAGAAAAGAGGGACAACATAATAGTATAGCTTATCTGAGCCAAACAAAAATTAATCCTCCACAGCAACAGTAGCACCTCTCTAAGAACTTGAATTTATTCATGCATAAAATCAACCTGGTCTCAAAAACACAGTTGTGAGTATAAAACAAAATATTTTATTCCTATATTTCAATGCAACACAAGAAGTGTAACTTATCAGTATATCTCTAACAGGTAGCTTAATTAAACAGAAACATAATTAGCATTCCATGCCTAGAAAAACAAAATAAATAAAATAGTACATATCTTTTCATTGTGATTAGAGAATTGCAGGCAAAAAAGTCTCTTATCTTCTTTTATTGATTAAGATACCACCCCTATGCTATTGATTCCCATTTGTCCTTTACAATTTAGCTCAAAGACACTTCTGCAATGCCTTCTCTGATTTTACTAAGCAGATCCTGGCATTTCTTGTATGCTTCAAAACCACTTTGTTCATATCTCTTATCATAGCTTTTAAAACATTATTTTATAATTTATCTATTTTTTAAAATTACACTTTGTGATCTATAAGTGGAAGGATTAAGCTCTAGGTCTATTAGTGACCCCAAAGTGGAGTAATGCTTTAATTATTTTTATAATTCTTGAGTAATTTCCGTCTTTCCCATTTGGATGTATTTGATTTGTTTGCTACTGCTTCCTCAGACAGAACCTAGCAGAGTCCCTAGCACATGGTAGGTGCTCAATAAATAATTTTTGAAAGAAAGGTGAATGGCATGAGCTAACTGTGCCACTAGGCTGGTCCTCCAGATCAAAGTAAATCTTAATCACTTTTGTGTTTCCAGTATCTAACACTACTGTTTTGTTGAATATAGTTTTCCCTATGAAATTTTCTCACAATCCTAGAAGTGGGCTTCTTGAGAGCAATAATTTGGTCTTTAATCTTTACATCCTATAGTCTGGTTTTTAGCATATGCTCAATAAATGTTTACTAAATTACTATATAACATTTAGTATATACTTGGTAAATGTATATGCAGATGATAACTTTGAAAAATAGTCTTCTTTGATATTCCTTAAAGTTATTTGAAAATACTTGAGGCCGGGTGCAGTGGCTCACACCTGTAATCCCAGCACTTTGGGAGGCCAAGGTGGGTGGATCACCTGAGGTCAGGAGTTCAAGATCAGCCTGGCCAACATGGTGAAACCCTGTCTCTACTAAAAATACAAAAATTAGCCGGGCATGACTGTGGGTGCCTGTAATCCCAGCTACTTGGGAGGCTGAGGCATGAGAATCGCTTGAACCCAGGAGGTAGAGGTTGCAGTGAGCTAAGATTGTGCCATTGCACTACAGCCTGGGTGACAGAGCGAGACTCCATCTCCAGAAAAAAAAAAAAAAAAAGAAAATATTTGAAATTGAAATATTTTTGTCCTAGTGGATAATTAGTTTGACCTAAAGTATAGTTTTTCTGAGTTTCAAAAAACATATGTGTGGATATATTGAATTATTTTCTTTACACTTTCTTTGGGGAATGAGCTTGAAAAAAATTACCTAGGAAAAATTAATTGCAATTAGAAGTGAACTTCACATAGCAACCTAAACCCTAATAATAATGTTTTTTCCTGAATATCTTGAACAAAAGTAATTTTACTTCTTACTTGACATTAAATGGCGTATTAGTTAAGATTCTCACATGTAAGTAACAGACACCCAACTCAGACTAGCTTAAACAGAAAAGTAACCAAAAATGTGGCTTTAGATCTGAAGAGAATCATAGACTTTGTTAATAAGATTTTCACTGATTCATGCCACTTCCTCAAAGAAGTCTTACTTTCCCTACCAAAGACTACTGGAATACCTGTTCTACATTTTCATAACACCCTGCATACCTCCTTCATATAACTTATCACAATTTTAATTATACAAAAATTATGTACTTAATTGTTTAATGTTTGTACCTGCTACTAGGCTGTAAGTTCCAGGAGGTGAGAGATTAAGTCTGTCTTGTTTGCCCTGTCTCCAAAACATCTAGCACAGGATTTTTTACATAACAATACTTCATAAATATTTGTTGAGTAAATGATTAAAATTCTTTTTGAAAACTACTGAAATTTGTAGGTCAGTAAAATCTAGAGAATTATGCCTCAGAAATTGCCATTAAATTTTTTATTGAGAAATGAAGCAAGCTCCTCTATGCCATATAAAAAGAAAAAATGTAACTACGTGGCAATCCTTTTCTTATATTAGAAAAAGAATTACTTCTTTCTGGAAGGTACAGATGATCTGGACAGAACAAGGATTATAGAAAGTACACTGATGTGCTAGCTCTTTTGACATATGCTGTTGCCATTTTACTTATTTTTTAAAAGTTAATTAATTAATCGATCGATTGATTGATTTTTAGAGATGGAGTCTTGCTATGTTGCCCAGGCTGGAATGCAGTGATATGATCATGGCTCACTGCAACCTTGAACTCCTGGGGTCAAGTGATTGTCCTGCCTCAGTCTTTCAAGTGTCTGGGACTATAGGCATACACCACCACACCCAGCTAATTTTTAAAACATTTTTTGTAGAGACAATGTCTTGCTATGTATGTTCCCCAGGATAGTCTCAAACTCTTGGCCTCAGGTGATCTTTTGGCTTTGGCCTCAAAAAGTGCATTTCACTTCTTGCGAATTTTCATCTATTAATAAACACAACTAAGTATTCTCTGGTTTAGATAACAAGGGAGAATACAAAAAAAACTAAAAGAGGGTTAACTTTTCATTTACATAATTTAACATCTTTCATGATCTGTTTCTTTCTGCCTGTAAAACTAAGACCAATCTAGAACAACTATTTGATTTCATGGGACATTATGTACACTGTATTTTCCTTTAGTTCTTAAAGGAAATGACACTTCAGAATTAAGATCATCAGAGACCAAACACAGAGACTAGGTCAATTGTAAGTACTGACATAATGTAAAACAGCAATTTGTATTTCTGTTTTTTGTCATTTATTGCTGCGTATTAGTCACAGTGATTACTTTGACACGGGAATGCTGAAGGCTTAACAATTTTTTCCAGGATTTCAAATGTAGTTACCTTTTCTCTGAGCTATCAATATATGAGAGATGACATTTGATGGTCAATGCTTTTACCACATCTTTATGTTAAGAAATGAAATTGGATACAAATGCATGTATTTTTATTATAAGTTAATAAACACAGATTCCTAAACCAGTAATAAGAATTATTTTGTATTGTGATGTTCAAATTCCATACTGTAAACATGTAAAGAAAAATAACACAAATATATCAAGAGTCTTATAAGCAAATAGTTTAAATGTGGTTTTTTTTTTTTTTTGCATTTGGAAAATGTTAAATTTTATTATTTAATATTCTTTACCATTATAGTTACTGCACATAAGACTATTACTACTAAAGGTCACTTCAGAGTCACTGCAAAATGGCCTGGAATTTTGGCAGCACCCATTTTACACAATATTTCTTTTTCCACAAAATAACAGACATACCAGGAAAATCATTTCAGCTAAAAATATGAGTGAGGTGGTAGAAATATCATCCCTTATAAAGCACAATGTTAGAATAGTACTTGAGAAAGCAGGATTGTTTTAAGTTCCAAGATTTAACAAACTTACTGTTCAGCATCATATTCAAGCCTAAAAGGAAGATAGGATTTTCAAGATATATTTCCAACTTCTTTAACATGGCACCATGGATGAACTGTTTCTCAGCACTGTGCTGCTTAACTTGGAATTAAGGATGAATTGGGAGGAGATAGTATGACATAGGTAGGTAGGTTGGGTGGTGAGGGGAACCAGTTCTAATAGTCCTCAACTCCACTCCAGCTGTTCCTGTTCCACACCGTCCACTGAGCTGGCCCAGTCCCTTTCACTCAGTGTGTCACCAAAGGCAGCTTCAAGGCTCAATGGCAAGAGACCACCTATAACCTCTTCACCTTCTGCTGCCTCTTTCTGCTGCCACTGACTGCCATGGTCATCTGCTATAGCCGCATTGTCCTCAGTGTGTCCAGCCCCCAGACAAGGAAGGGGAGCCATGGTGAGACTCCAATTCCCAGGCCTTAATCCTTAACCCTAGACCTGTTGCCTCTAGCATCATTTATTTATCTACCTACCTAATAGCTATCTACCAGTCACTAAACCATGGTGAGATTCTAACCATGTCTAGCACCTGATGCTAGAGATAATTTTGTTGAATCCCTTCAATTATAAACAGCTGAGTTAGCTGGACAAGGACTAGGGAGGCAATGAGTATTATTTATTCTTGAACACCATCAAGTCTAGACTTGGTGGCTTCATATTTCTATCATAATCCCTGGGGGTAAGAAATCATATAGTCCCAGGTTGGGAAGGGGAAAACGGTTTGCAACATTCTCCTCCTTGTAGGAGGTGAGCTCTGTCTCACTACCTATGCCCCTCCATCAATTCACCCTATACTCAGATCAGAAGCTGAGTGTCTGAATTACAGTATATTTTCTAAATTCCTAGCCCCTGCTGGTGAATTTGCCCTCCCCCGCTCCTTTGACAATTGTCCCCGTGTTCGTCTCCGGGCCCTGAGACTGGCCCTGCTTATCTTGCTGACCTTCATCCTCTGCTGGACACCTTATTACCTACTGGGTATGTGGTACTGGTTCTCCCCCACCATGCTAACTGAAGTCCCTCCCAGCCTGAGCCACATCCTTTTCCTCTTGGGCCTCCTCAATGCTCCTTTGGATCCTCTCCTCTATGGGGCCTTCACCCTTGGCTGCCGAAGAGGGCACCAAGAACTTAGTATAGACTCTTCTAAAGAAGGGTCTGGGAGAATGCTCCAAGAGGAGATTCATGCCTTTAGACAGCTGGAAGTACAAAAAACTGTGACATCAAGAAGGGCAGGAGAAACAAAAGGCATTTCTATAACATCTATCTGATCCTAACAGAGTATGTAGGAACAGAATAGTAAGTCTTTAGTGCCATAAGATCTTAACATCTCACTTCTACTCCTGCTCTCCTAGTTCCCCCCAAAAAAGAAATACTGACCAGTGTCTCTACTTTAAACCCTACCTGAAACTTGAGACTATGTCTAATATAGAAACTCACATAACTAGCCCAGGCAACACAGCAAGACCCCATCTCTACCAAAATATGAAAAAATTTAGCCGGGCATGGTGGCATGTGCCTGTAATCCCAACTACTAGGGACAGTGAGGCAGAAGGATGGCTTGAGCCCAAGAGTTTGAAGCTGCAGTGAGCTATGATCAGCTGCAATCCACCCTGGGTAACACAGCAAGACTCTATCTCAAAAAAAAGAAAAAAAAGAAATACATAGAGTTCAGTCCCTAGAAGTATCTTCACAATGATCCATACAGCCTTGCTATGCTTTAGAACTTTCAATTTTAGGACAGGAAAGTAACATTAAATGTAGAAAACAAAAATGGAACATTTATTCGCAACTCAAATACTACGCATATAGGGTAAGAGATTAAATATAAACACAGCAAGTTCCACCCCAGTCCTATTTGTCCAAGGCTGCATGGTCAAATGGAATCTTGAAGAGAACACCTGGACAACAGAGGACCTGTCAGCGACGTCTCCGGTCTGGACTTCTGCTGCGTCTTCGGCCACCTCTCCTCTTGCCTTTTGGTGGACCCCGAACAAAACACCAGTCAATGCTGATGGGCCGTCCCATCAAATCCTGGCCATTGAGTCCCTCCATAGCAGCCTGGGCTTCCTTGTATGTTTCATATTCAACTAGAGTATACCCCTTCAGATATCCTGTTCGCCTGTTGAGGTTGAGGTGAATGTTTTTAATTTCCCCATATTCTGCGAATTTGTCGTGTATGTCTTCTTAGGTGGCTTCCTCATGGACTCCAGCTACAAAGAGAATCCAGCCTTCAACAGAGCGTTGTGGTCCGGGTTCATCGCCATCCTGCTCCACGCTGTCATAATCCTCACGCATCCGCGCTCGGGACCCCTCTTCGGAGCCAAAGCCGCGACCCTTCTGTTTCTTCGCTTTTTCTTTCAGTTTGTGAATGCTCTCGTCCCCATCCTCATCCATGGCGAAATCTTCGCCCCCAGCCTCGTGAAGATCTAGCACGTCCGCCATCTCGCCTTCGATCGAGATCTCGTCTGTGCCGCTCAGACACTAGGTACCTCCAAAATGTTTTTTTTTTTAAATTATGATTCAACTGTGCAAACTGTTATAGGGTAAGACATTTTAGAACATAGTGGATCACTATTACCAAGGATTTGGAAGTCAAATAATGTATTTTTCAGATTATTATATACCTGTTTAAAAAGTGATATTAACTTCAGTAAATGTTAATCTAGTAGCTTGAGAAATGCTTGATTATTGTTTTCCAAGATGAAATATCTACTTGAATTTTTTTCATGAAAAAAGTATCATTTGCTATATCTTGTATCACTATTTTATATTGAGCTATATTGTTAAATTTAATATATGTAATATATATAATATAGAACATAATTATATGATATTGATATATGTTGTATGTAATATAGATATATCCATAGCTGTTATATAATACTATAGTTGATATATGGATGTTAAATAAGCTGTAATATTATGAAGGACATGTGATTAGCTTACATATGGAAGAGGGGAGAACTTGGATTTTATATACCATACCTTTCCTCTTTGCTAATTTCTACTCATTTAGGGAAGAAAATCTAGAAATAGGCTTCCCACTTCCCCTTTCATATATACTTAAATTTCATTCTTTATAAGCAATAGAAACTGACACTGACTAAATACAGCCAAACCAAGTGGCGGTAAGGTGAGCATTCATTGGAAGGATGGAAGTAGCTTATAAAATAGAAGAAAAAGCTGAACAAATTAAGCTATGGGAAGGATAGGAATCAGAAAAATTCCAAGAATCTAGGTCCATTCAGTGTTCTGCCAATGGAATGAATCAGCTCCAGCCATTCATTGAGCAGAATATCATTCTGCTCAAGGCTTGAAATTCCAGGAAAACTTTATTGGTCTAATCTGAGTCATTTGCTCATTTCTTGGCACCTTGACTGATGGTTTCAGCAAGACTGCATAGTGTTGGGAAAAGTCGTTTCCAAAAGGAAAATTGGGTTACTATTCCAAAAGAAAGGAAAATAGATGATGAATAAACAAAAACATCACGTGTGCACAAAAATATAGCACACATACATTCTTGCTAGTAGAAACTTTTCCCAAATGGCCAACATTTCTTTTTTGTCAGAATTTACTCATTTATTCAACAGATACTCAACATATACTATATGCTAGGCCATGCAAGATGTAGAGAATACCAGAATAAGAAAATAAAAATTGATTTCTACATGATACATTAAGTGCAAGAAATATCCCTCTGGCAAATTAAAGAAAGTAAAGGTATAGTGAATACTCACTTTTCTATACTCTATTAAACTCTCATCAGCCTTGCATTTAGTTTCAGGACAGCTTTTGCTGATAATACACAAGACATAAGCATTAGCTGTGCCTTACTTGTCCAGAAGTAGCAAACTGTAGGTCTGAGGTCTTGTTAGTCCGGCAGTGTTATAACTTATTTGTTAACACTAAAAAACAAGGACAAAGGAGACAATTAAAAGCAATGTGGGATCTAATTGGATCCTGTTGCAGAAAAAAAGTATATTAATAGGACAATTGGTTTTTCAAATTAGCTAATAATCTCTTAATGTTAATTTTTGGCTTTGGTAATTGTGCTGTGGTTACATAAGATGTTAACATTAATATAAGTCTAAAATTATTTTTAATAAAAGCAGTACTACTGTAATGAAAATTTCTGGCTTCTCTTGAAACTGAGAAGATCTGATAGAGCTATTTTGATAGAAGGAATGCTTTTCTGGGAAAATGTACATTATAAAAAATTGACTCAAGAAGAGAACAACCGTGTAACAAATTGAAAAGTTTATTAAAAATTGCCTCTATGGAATGTACCAGGCCTTAGATATTTTAATGATTGTCACATCAAATTCTCAAGAAATAATTTATATGCTTTTTAAATTATGAGAAGTATAGAAAAAATGTGCTGTGCTGAGAAACAAAAATATATGAGAGAATTTCAGATCATTTTAATAACTCTGATACCAACATTTGATAAAAATTGTACACAAAAGAAAGCTACAGACCCACAGCTAGTATCATACTGAATGGAGAAAAACTGAAAGCCTTTCCTCTAAGATCTGGAACATCACAAGGATGCCCACTGTCACCACTGTTATTCAATATAGTACTGGAAGTTCCAGCTAGAGCAATCAGACAAGAGAAAGAAAGGGCATCCAAATTGGAAAGGAAGAGGTCAAATTATCCTGGTTTTCAGATGATATGATCTTATATTTGGAAAATCTAAAGATTCCACCAAAAAACTATCAGAACTGACAAACTCAGTAAAGTTGCAGGATACAAAATCAACATACAAAATTCAGTAGCCTTCTACATTCCAACAGTGAACAATCTGAAAAACAATTTTTAAAAGTCCCATTTACAATAGCCACAAATAAAATTAAATACCTAGGAATTAAGTTATCCAAAGAAGTGAAAAATCTTTACAATGAAAACTATAAAACACTGATGAAAGAAATTGAAGAGGACACCAAGAAATGGAAAAATATTCCATGCTCATGGATTGGAAGAATCAATATTGTTAAAATATTCATACTACTCAAAGCAATCTACAGATTCGATGCAATCCCTAGAAAAATACATTCTTTACAGAAATAGAAAAAACAATACTAAAATTTATATGGAACCAGAAAAGACCAAGAATAGCCAAAGCTATCCTAAGCAAAAGGAGCAAAACTAAAGGGATCATATTATCTGACTTCAAATTATACTACAGAGCTGTAGTAAATGAAACAGCATGGCACTGGCATAAAAACAGACACATAGACCAATGGAACAGAATACAGAACCAAGAAACAAATCCACACACCTACAGTGAACTCATTTTCAACAAAGGTGCCAAGAACATACATTGGGGAAAAGACAGTCTCTTCAATAAATGGTGTTGGAAAAACTGGATATCCATATGCAGAAGAATGAAACTAGACCCCTATCTCTTGCTGTATACAAAATATCAAATCAAAATGGATTAAAGACTGAAATCTAAAAACTCAAACCATAAAACGACTACAAGAAGACACTGGCGGGAAATCTTCAGGACACTGGCCTGGGCAAAAATTTCTTGAGCAATACCCCACAAGCACAGGCAACCAAAGCAAAAATGGACGAGTGGGATTAAATCAAGTTAAAAAGCTTCTGCAAAGTAAAGGATACAATCAACAAAGTGAAGAGACAACCCAGAGAATGGGAGAAAATATTTGCAAACTACCTATCTGATAAGGGATTAATAACCAGAATAAATAGGGAGCTCAAACAACTCTATAGGAAAAAAATATAATGATCTGATGAAAAGATGGGCAAAAGATCTGAACAGACATTTCTCAAAAGAAAACATGCAAGTGGCAAACAGGCATATAAAAAGGTGCTCAACATCATTGATCAGTAGAGAAATGCAAATCAAAATTGCAATGAGATATCATCTCACCCCAGTTAAAATGGCTTATATCCAAAAGACAGGCAATAATAAATGCTGGTGAGGATGTGGAGAAAAGGGAACCCTGTACAGTGTTGGTGGGAATGTAAATTAGCACAACCACTATGGAGAACAGTTCGGAGATTCCTTAAAAAACTAAAAATTGAGCTACCGTATGATCCAGCAATTCCACTGCTGGGTGTATACCCAAAAGAAAGGAAATCAGTATATCGAAAAGATATCTGTACTCCCATGTTTGTTGCAGCACTGTTTACAATAGCTAAGATTTGGAAGCAACCTAAGTGTGCATCACCAGATGAATGGATAAAGAAAATGTGCTACATATACACAATGGAGTACTATTCAGCCATAAAAAAGAATGAGATCCAGTTATTTGCAACAACATGGATGGAACTGGAGGTGAAATAAGTGAAATAAGCCAGGCACAGAAAGACAAACATCTCATGTTCTCACTTATTTGTGGGATCTAAAAATCAAAACAATTGAACTCAAGGGCATAGAGAGTAGAAGGATGGTTACCAGAGGCTGGGAAGGATTGGTGGGGGGCTAGTGGGGGAGGTGGGGATGGTTAATGGGTAAAAAAATAGTCAGAAAGCACGAGTAAGACCTACTTTTTGATAGGACAACAGGGTGACTATAAAATGGTCAATTTTAAATTTATTTTAAAATAAAGAGTGCAATTGAATTGTTTTCAACTCAATGGATACATGCTTGAGAGAATGGATACCCCATTCTTTATTGTGTGCTTATTTCACATTGCACGCCTGTATCAAAACATCTCATGTACCCCATAAATACATACACCTACTATGTACCCACAAAAATAAAATAAAATAAAAGTTAAAAAAGGAAACTACAGATAATCCGCCAATGAATTTGGAATAACTTTCAAATGAAATATTAGAAAATTAAACCCAGAACTACATTAAATAAATGAACACCACCCATAGAGAATTTATTTTCTAAAATGCAATGATGGTTTAATATTAATAAACCTATTCATATGATATATCATATTAATAGGTCAAAGAATATTTTTTTAAGACAGGGTCCTGCTCTGTCACCCAGGCTGGAGTGCAGTGGCATGATCATGGCTCACTGCAGCCTCCACCTCCTGGGCTCAATTGATCCTTCTGCCTCAGCCTCCTGAATTGCTGGGACTACAGGCATGTGCCATCAGGCATGTGCCATCATGCCCAGCTAGTTTTTTGTATTTTTTTTGTAGAGGTGGGGTTTCGCCATGTTGTCCAGGCTGGTCTTGAACTCCCAGGCTCAAGCAATCCACCCACCACAGCCTCCCAAAGTGCTGGGAACACAGGCATGAGTCATTCTGCCCTGCCTAAAGAAACTTTTAAAAAGTATTATGTTGATAGATGTCAAAGGCACTCACTAATTTTCAGCATATTTTCCTCATAAAAAGGACACACACATATTTTCCTCCAAAAAATACTTTAAGTTTGTAACTAACACTATATTTAATTGTAAGCCCTAGGAATATTAAAGAAACAAAACACGGATGGATGAGAAAACCAATATTATTTAATATTTTCTTGGAAGCTAAAGTTTCAAGTAATTAAAGGTGTCAAAATAAAAGAAACAGCAAGCATACAAACTAGAAAGTAGGATCCAAAATTTTATTTTCAACATATTCAATTGTGTACCCAAGAAAATCAATGGAAAAGCTATTAAAATTAATAAGATATTTTAGTATAGAAGCCAGATATAAATCAAACTAAAAAATCTATAACTTATATATATCACCAGTAATGTGTTAGAAAACATAAGAAAAAGTACCAGACATGTAATTTTACAGAAATACATAATTTTTATCACATTGTATACATTTTAATTCAGTCTATCTGTTTTTATTTTCCTCATTTTCTTTGCACTACCGTTCTTCCCTATTCTACTGCATTGATGTCCCCAAAACCTCTTTATTCCCAGGTAACCCTATCAGCAACCTAATATATATGTTTCCATATTTTTCCATACTCATTGTATTAGGCCTTTCTTGCATCGCTATAAAGAAATACCCGAGGCAGAGTCATTTATAAAGAAAAGAGGTTTAATTGGCTCACGGTTCTGCAGCTGTAGTAACCTGGCACTGACATCTGCTTGGCTTCTGGGGAGGCCTCAGGGAGCTTTGACTCATGGCAGAAGGCTAAGAGGGAGCAGGCACATCATATGGTGAGAGAGGGACCAAAAGAGAGGGGTGTGGGTGTGTGCCACACACACATTCAGTCTTTTACCGTGAAGTATAATGTTAACTGTAGGGTTTTTAAACAACCAGATCATGTGAGAACTCACTATCACAAGGACAGCACCAAGCCTTGAGGGATCCACCCCCAAGAACCAAAAACGTCCCACCAGGCCCCACCTCCAACACTGGGGATTACATTCTAACATGAGATTTGGAGGGAAACTATATCACTCATATAATTATGAAAAGGAATATAAATTCATATGTATGCATACATATACTCGCAAATATATAGTGGTTTTGTCATTTTTTGCTTTATAAAAAGAGACTCACATTCCACACATCTTCCTTCATCTTGTTTTACTTACTCAACTTTTTAAAAATCCCTTTAAGTCAACAGTATTGCTCTAATTTATTATTTTAATGGACACATAATATTATTTACCATAATTTATTATAACACTGTCAAATTGCTGGGTATTCACTTTATTTCCAGGTTTTGCCACTAAAAACAAATTCAGTGAATGTTTATATGTTTTTATATTCTAATAGTTTTCTTTTTTTCTTTTTCTTTCTTTTTTGTTTTTTTGAGACAGGGCCTTTGCGGTGACATGACCTCAGCTCACTGCAGTCTCAACCTCCCTGGCTCAAGCAATCTTCCCGCCTCAGCTTCCCAAGTAGCTGGGACTACAGGCACATGCAACTACACCAGGCTAATTTTTTGTATTTTTTGTAGCCATGGGGTTTCATTATGTTGCCCTGAGCTCAAGCGATTTGCCTGCCTTGGCTTCCCAAAGTGCTGGGACTACAAGCATGATCCACTGCGCCTGGCCTCTAATGGCTTTATTTCTATGGGAGAAATTCTTAGGCCTGGGATTAGTGGAACGGCAGGCATATAAATTTCTAAAATTAATTTTTGTATTTTGAGATAACTGTAGATTCACATGCAGTTGTTAAGAAACAATAGAGTCCACGCATTCTTTGCCTAGTTTTCCCCAATGGTAATATAGGGCAAAACTTTTGTACATTACAACTATGATATTGACATGGATATAGTACTATACAGTCAAGATAATAAACAGTTTCATCACCACAAAGATGAAACTTTTATAGTCATCCTCATCCCACATTTTCATGATCCCTAGTAACTATTAATCTGTTCTTTATTTCCATAATTTTGAATTTCAAAAATGTTATATAAATGGAATCATAGACCATGTAATTTTTGGGGATTGGATTTTTTTTTTTTGCTCATCATAATTTCCTAGAGATTCATCCAAATTGTTACATATAAACATATAAACAGCTTGTTGTTCTTTGTTGCTGAGTAATATTTTACTGTATGGATGTACCACAGTTTGTTTAATCCTTCACCCATAGAAGGACATCTGAGTTATTTCCAGTTTTTGGTTACTACATATAAAGCTTCTATGAACATTTGTCTACAAGTGTTTGTGTGAATATGTTTTAATTTCTTTGTGACAAATGCTCAATACTTGTTGCGCATTGTCATATGGTAGTTTCATGTTTTACTTTTTTAAAGAAACTGCCAAAATATTTTTCGGAGTCACTGTACCATTTCATTTTCTCACCAGCAATATATTAGTGATCAGATTCTCTGAATCCTCATCTACACTGATTGTCACCTTTTAATTTTAGCCATTCTAATAATAGGTGTGTAGTGATATCTCATGGTTTGAATTTGCATTTCTCCAATGGCTGATGATACTGAAAATTTTTTCATGTATTTATTTGCCATCTGTATATCCTCTTCAATAAAATGCCCATGTTCAATCTTTTGTGCATTTTCTAATTAGATTGTTTTTAATGTTGAGTTTTGAGAGTACTTTATATATTTTATATAATAGTACTTTTTGCATATGTACTTTGAAGATATTTTCTTTTAGTCAGTAGCCTTTTTTTCATCCTCTTAACGAGGGCTTTCACAGAGAAAAAGTTTTTAATTTGGATAAGAGTCAATGTATCTATTTTTTCTGTTATGGATTATGCTTTTTTTCTTTTATGGATTATGTTGTCAAGTCTAATAACTTTCTCTAATTCTAGATTCTGAAGATTTTCTCCTTTTTTTCTAAAAGTTATATAGTTTTATGTTTTACATTTAAGTCTATGATACATTTTGAGTTAATTTTTGTATAAGGCATGAGGTTTAGGTCATTTTTTGCCTTTTTTTGGAAAGGCTGTCCTTACTCCTTTGTATTGCTTTTGCACCTTTGCAAAAAAATCATTAGGGCATATTTGTGTGGGTCTATTTCCATGTTTTCTGTTTTGTTCTGTTGATGTATGTATCTATCCCTCTAACAACAACACCACTCTGTCCTGATTGTTGTTGCTATACAGTAGGCTTTAATATTGGGTAGAGTGAGTCCTCCCGTTGTATTCTTCTTTTAAAAGATGGTTTAGTGTTTCTAGGGCCTGTGCCTTTTTATATAAATTTTAGAATAAGCTTCTCTATGTTTATGAAAATCCCTTCTGGAATTGTAATAGGAGTTACATTAAATCAATTTGGGAGAACTGTAACTGTGATCTTTATTGCATAGAGTCTTGTAATCCTCGAACATGGTATATCTCTATTTATTTAGGTTTTCTTTTATTTCTTTAATCAGCATTTTGTCATTTTCAGCATGCAGATTCTACATCCATTTTGTTAAGTGTATATGTAAGCATTCAATTTTATTTGGAGTAATTGCAGATAGCATTAGGTTTTTAATTTTAGTGTCCACATGTTCATTGTTAGTACGGTAGTTCCCCGTTTACCCCCAGGGGATATCTAAAACTATGGATATTACCAAACGCTATATATACTATGCTTCTTTCTATACATACATACCTATGGTAAAGTTTAATTTGTAAGTTAGGCACAGTAAAACATTAACAACAACTAACCATAAAATACAACAACTGTAACAATATGCCATAATTACTACTCTTATGATTTGGGATCGTGATTAAGTAAAATAAAGGTTACTTGAACACAAGCCCTGTGACACCAGGACAGTTGATCTAATGACCAAGATGGCTGCTAAGTGACTAATGGGTGGGTAGCATATACAGTGTGGATACGCTGGACAAACAGATAAGTCACGTCCCAGGTGGGACAGAGCAGGATGGCACAAGATTTCATCATGCTACTCAGAATGGTGCACGATTTAAAACATATGGATTGTTTATGTCTCTAATCTTACATTTAATCCTTAAAGACTGTGATTGACCATGAGTAACCGAAACCATGGAAAGCAAAACTGGAAAAGGGGAACTACTGCATGTATAAATATGATTGATATTTGTGTGTTGATCTTGTGTATTAGACAGTTCTTGCATTGCTATAAAGAAATACCGGAGGCTGGTAATTTATAAATAAAAGAGGCTTAATTGGCTCACAGTTCTGCAGACTCTATAGGATGCACAGCTCCTGCATCAGCTTCTGGGGAGGCCTCAAGAAGCTTATAGTCATTGTGGAAGGTGAAGTTACAGCAGGCACTTCACATGGCAAAAGCAGGAGCAAGAGAGGGCAGGAGGCAGTGGAGGGGAGAGGTGCCACACACCTTAAAAATACCAGATCTCTGTTGATTGGTGGTGAGCTCAGAGTGAGTGCTCATTTATTACCAAGAGGCTGGCCCAAGCCATTTATGAGGGACCCACTCCCATGATCCAAACACCTCCCACTAGGCCTCACCTCCAACATTGGAGATTACAATTTAACATGAGATTTGGCCAGGGACGAACATTCAAACTATACCATCTTGTTTTCTGCAACTCCTCTTAGCTCTAGCTGTTTTTGTTTTAGTTTTGTAGATTCTCTGGAATTTTCTACACAGATAATCATATCATTGCACATAAAAACAGATTTTGCTCTTCATTTTCAATTTGTATGGATTTTAGTATTTTTTGTTGTCCCATCGCAGTGTCTAGAACTTCAGTACTATGTTGAATAAGAGGATAAAAGTGGACATCTTTGCCTTGTTTCTGATCTTAAAGGAAACATTCAGTCTTTTACTGTGAAGTATAATGTTAACTGTAGGGTTTTTTTTAATAGATACTCTTTATCATGATGAGGAAGTATTCCTCTATTCCTAGTTTGCTAAGAGGTTTTTTTGTTTGTATTAAATGAGTGGGAGTTATATTTTGTCAAATGCCTTTTCTGCCTCAATTGAGATGATCATGTGATTTTTCTCCTTAGCCTGTTGATATGGTGTATTACATTGATTTATTTTTTGAGAATCAGCCTTGTATATGTAGGATAAATCCCACTTGTTTGTGGTATATAATCTTTTATTTATTTGTTTATTTATTTATTTATTTATTATACTTTAAGTTCTAGGGTTCATGTGCACAATGTGCAGGTTTGATAGATAGGTATACATGTGCCATGCTGGTTTACTTCACACATCAACTCATCATTTACATTAGGTATTTCTCCTAATGCTATCCCTCCCCCAGGCCCCCGCCCCACCGACAGGCCCCAGTGTGTGATGTTCCCTGCCCTGTGTCCAAGTGATCTATCTCATTGTTCCATTCCCACCTATGAGTGAGAACATGCGGTATTTGGTTTTGTCCTTGTGATAGTTTGCTGAGAATGATGGTTTCCAGCTTCATCCATGACCCTACAAAGGACATGAACTTATCCTTTTTTTATGGCTGCATAGTATTCCATGGTGTATATGTGCCACATTTTCTTAATCCAGTCTACTATTGATGGACATCTGGGTTGGTTCTAAGTCTTTGCTATTGTGAATAGTGCCGCAATAAACATACATGTACATGTGTCTTTATAGTAGCATGATTTATAATCCTTTGGGTATATACCCAGTAATGGGATTGCTGGGTCAAATGGTAATTCTAGTTCTAGATCCTTGAGGAATCGCCACACTGTCTTCCACAGTGGTTGAACTAATTTACACTCCCACCAACAGTGTAAAAGCATTCCTGTTTCTCCACATCCTCTCCAGCATCTGTTGTTTCTTGACTTTTTAATGATTGCCATTCTAACTGGCATGAGATGGTATCTCATTGTGGTTTTGATTTGCATTTCTCTGATGACCAGTGGTGATGAATTTTTTCATGTGTCGGATGCATAAATGTCTTGTTTTGAGAAGTGTCTGTTCATATCCTTTGCCCACTTTTTGATTTTTTTTCTTATAAATTTGTTTAAGTTCGTTGTAGATTCTGGATATTAGCCCTTTGTCAGGTGGGTAGATTGCAAACATTTTCTCCCTTTCTGTAGGTTGCCAGTTCACTCTGATGATAGTTTCTTTTGCTGTGCAGAAGCTCTTTATTTTAATTAGATTCCACTTGTCTATTTTGGCTTTTGTTGCCATTGCTTTTGGTGTTTTAGTCATGAAGTCCTTGCCCATGCCTATGTCCTGAATGGTATTGCCTAGGTTTTCTTCTAGGGTTTTTATGGTTTTAGGTCTAACATGTAAGTCTTTAATCCATTTGAATTAAATTTTGTATAAAGTGTAAGGAAGGGATCCAGTTTCAGCTTTCTCCATATGGCTAGCCAGTTTTCCCAGCACCATTTATTAAATAGGGAATCCTTCCCCCATTTCTTGTTTTTGTTAGGTTTGTCAAAGATCAGATGGTTGTAGATGTATGGTGTTATTTCTGAGGCCTCTGTTCTGTTCCATTAGTCTGTATATCTGTTTTGGTACCAGTACCGTGCTGTTTTGGTTACCATAGCATTGTAGTACAGTTTGAAGTCAGGTAGCATGATGCCTCCAGCTTTGTTCTTTTGCTTAGGATTGTCTTGGCAATGTGGGCTGTTTTTGATTCCATATGAACTTTAAAGTAGTTTTTTCCAATTATGTGATGAAAGTCATTGGTAGCTTGATGGGGATAGCACTGAATCTATAAATTACCTTGGGCAGTATAGCCATTTTCACGATATTGATTCTTCCTATCCGTGAGCATGGAATGTTCTTCCATTTGTTTGTGTCCTCTTTTATTTTGTTGAGCAGTGCTTTGTAGTTATCCTTGAAGAGGTCCTTCACATACCTTATAAGTTGGATTCCTAGGTATTTTATTCTCTTTGAAGCAATTGTGAATGGGAGTTCACTCATGATTTGGCTCTCTGTCTGTTAGTGGTGTATAAGAATGCTTGTGATTTTTGCACATTGATTTTGTATCCTGAGACTGCTGAAGTTGCTTATCAGCTTATGGAGATTTTGGGCTGAGACGATGGGGTTTTCTAAGTATACAATCACATCATTTGCAAACAGGGACAATTTGACTTCCTCTTTTCCTAACCGAATACCCTTTATTTCTTTCTCTTGCCTGATTACCCTGGCCAGAACTTCCAACACTATATTGAATAGGAGTGTTGTGAGAGGGCATCCTTGTCTTGTGCCCATTTTCAAAGGGAATGCTTCCAGTTTTTGCCCATTCAGTATGATATTGGCTGTAGGTTTGTCATAAATAGCTCTTATTATTTTGAGATACGTTCCATCAATACCTAGTTTATTGAGAGTTTTTAGCATGAAGGGGTGTTGAATTTTGTAGAAGGCCTTTTCTGCATCTATTGAGATAATCATGTGGTTTTTGTCGTTGGTTCTGTTTATGTGATGGGACATGTGTATTGATTTGCATATGTTGAGCCAGCCTTGCATCCCAGGGATGAAGCCCACTTGATTGTGGTGGATAAGCTTTTTGATGTGCTGCTGGATTCGGTTTGCCACTATCTTATTCAGGATTTTTGCATTGATGTTCATCAGGGATATTGGTCTAAAATTCTCTTTTTTTGTTGTGTCTCTGCCAGGCTTTGGTATCAGGACGAAATTGGCCTCATAAAATGAGTTAGGGAGGATTCCCTCTTTTTCTATTGATTGGAATAGTTTCCGAAGGAATGGTATCAGCTCCTCTTTGTACGTCTGGTAGAATTTGGCTGCGATTCCTTTTAGTCCTGGACTTTTTTTGGTCAATAGGCTACTAATTATTGCCTCAATTTAAGAGCCTGTTATTGGTCTGTTCAGAGATTCAACTTCTTCCTAATTTAGTCTTGGGAGGGTGTATGTGTCCAGGAATTTATCCATTTATTCTAGATGTTCTAGTTTATTGGCATAGGGGTGTTTATAGTATTCTCTGATGGTAGTTGTTTTTCTGTGGGATCAGTGGTGATATCCCCTTTATCATTTTTTATTGTATCTATTTGATTTGTCTCTCTTTTCTTCTTTATTAGTCTTGCTAGCAGTCTATCAATTTTGTTGATCTTTTCAAAAAACCAGCTCCTGGATTCATTGAATTTTTGAAGGGTTTTTTGTGTGTCTATCTCCTTCAGTTCTGCTCTGATCTTAGTTATTTCTTGCCTTTTACTAACTTTTGAATGTGTTTGCTCCTGCTTCTCTAGTTCTTTTAATTGTGATGTTAGGGTGTCGATTTTAGATCTTTCCTGCTTTCCCTTGTGAGCATTTAGTGCTATAAGTTTCCCTCTACACACTGTTTAAATGTTTCCCAGAGATTCTGGTACGTTTTGTCCTTGTTCTCATTGGTTTCAAAGAACATCTTTATTTCTGCCTTCATTTCGTTATTTACCCAGCAGTCATTCAGGAGCAGGTTGTTCAGTTTCCATGTAGTTGTGCAGTTTTGAGTGAGTTTCTTAATCCAGAGTTCTAATTTGATTGCACTGTGGTCTGAGAGACAGTTTTTTGTGATTTCTGTTCTTTTACATTTGCCAAGGAGTGCTTTACTTCTAATTATATGGTCAATTATAGAATAAATGCAATGTGGTGCTGAGAAGAATGTATATTCTGTTGATTTGGGGTGGAGAGTTCTGTAGATGCCTATTAGATCTGCTTGTCGCAGAGCTGGGTTCAGGTCCTGGATATCCTTGTTTACCTTCTGTCTCATTGATCTGTCCAATACTGACAGTGGGGTGTTAAATCTCCCATTATTATTGTGTGGGAGTCTACATCTCTTTGTAGCTCTCTAAGGGCTTGCTTTATGAATCTCAGTGCTCCTGTATTGGGTGCATATATATTTAGGATAGTTGGCTCTTCCTGTTGAATTGATCCCTTTACCATTATGTAATGGCCTTCTTTGTCTCTTTTGATGTTTGTTGGTTTAAAGTCTGTTTTATCGGAGACTAGGATTGCAACCCCTCCTTTTTTTTTTTTTTTTTTTTTTTTTTTTTTGCTTTCCATTTGCTTGGTAGATCTTCTTCCATCCCTTTATTTTGAGCCTATGTGTGTCTTTTCACGTGAGATGGGTCTCCTGAATACAGCACACTGATGGGTCTTGACTCTTTATCCAATTTGCCTGTCTGTCTTTTAATTGGGACATTTAGCCCATTTACATTTAAGGCTAATATTGTTATGTGTGAATTTGATCCTGTCATTATGGTGTTCACTGGTTATGTTGCGTGTTAATTGATGCAGTTTCTTCATAGCATCAATGGTCTTTACAATTTGGCATGTTTTTGCAGTGGCTGGTACCGGTTGTTTCTTTCCATATTTAGTGCTTCCTTCAGGAGCTCTTGAAAGGCAAGCATGGTGGTGACAAAATCTCTCAGCATTTGCTTGTCTGTAAAGTATTTTATTTCTCCTTCACTTATGAAGCTTAGTTTGGCTGGATATGAAATTCTGGGTTGAAAATTCTTTTCTTTAAGAATGTTGAATATTGGCCCCTACTCTCTTCTGGCTTGTAGGGTTTCTGCTGAGAGATCTGCTGTTAGTCTAATTGGCTTCCCTTTGAGGGTAACTTGACCTTTCTCTCTGGCTGCCCTTAACACTTTTGCCTTCATTTCAACCTTGGTGAATCTGACAATTATGTGTCTTGGGGTTGCTCTTCTCGAGGAGTATCTTTGTGGTGTTCTCTGCATTTCCTGAATTTGAATGTTGGCCTGCCTTGCTAGGTTAGGGAAGTTCTCCTGGATAATATCCTGAAGAGTGTTTTCCAACTTGGTTCCATTCTCTCCATCACTTTCAGGTACACCAATCAGACATAGATTTGGTCTTTTCACATAGTCCCATATTTCTTGGAGGCTTTGTTCATTTCTTTTTACTCTTTTTTCTCTAACCTTGTCTTCTCACTTTATTTCATTAATTTGATCTTCAATCACTAATATCCTTTCTTCTGCTTGATTGAATCAGCTATTGAAGCTTGTGCATGCGTCACGAAGTTCTCGTGCCATTGTTTTCAGCTCCATCGGTCATTAATGGTCTTCTCTACACTGTTTATTCTAGTTAGCCATTTGTCTAATCTTTTTTCAAGGTTTTTAGCTTCTTTGCAATGGGTTTGAACATCCTCCTTTAGCTCAGTGAAGTTTGTTATTACCAACCTTCTAAAGCCTACTTCTGTCAACTCGTCAAAGCCACTTTCCGTCCAGCTTTGTTCCATTGCTGGTAAGGAGCTGCGATCCTTTGGAGGAGAAGAGGCGCTCTGATTTTTAGAATTTTTAGCTTTTCTGCTCTGGTTTCTCCCCATCTTTGTCGTTTTATCGACCTTTGGTCTTTGATGTTGGTGACGTACAGATGGGGTTTTTGTGTAGATGACCTTTTTGTTGATGTTGATGCTATTCTTTTCTGTTTGTTAGTTTTCCTTCTAACAGTCAGGCCCCTCAGCTGCAGGTCTGTTGGAGTTGCTGGAAGTTCACTCCAGACCCTGTCTGCCTGGGTATCACCAGAGAGGCTGCAGAACAGCAAATATTGCAGAACAGCAAATATTGCTGCCTGATCCTTCCTCTGGAAGCTTCATCCCACAGGGGCAGCCGCCTATATGAGGTGTCTGTCAGCCCCTACTGGGAGGTGTCGCCCAGCTAGGCTACACGGGGTCAGGGACCCACTTGAGGAGGCAGTCTGTCTGTTTTCAGAGATCAAACGCCCTGCTAGGAGAACCACTGCTCTCTTCAGAGCTGTCAGACAGGGATGTTTATGTCGCAGAAGTTGTCTGCTGCCTTTTGTTCAGTTATGCCCTGCCCACAGAGGTGGAGTCTAGAGGCAGTAGGCCTTGTTTGCGCTGCAGTGGGCTCCGCCCAGATCGAGCTTCCCCGGCACTTTTTTTTTACCTACTCAAGCCTCAGCAATGGCGGATACCCCTCCTCCAGCCAGGCTGCTGCCTGGCAGATCAATCTCAGACTGGTGCGCTAGCGGTGAGCAAGGCTCCATGGGCATGGGACCCACTGAGCCAGGCACGGGAGAGGATCACCTTGTCTTCTGGTTGTTAAGACCTTGGGAAAAGCACAGTGTTTGGGTGGGAATGTCCTGTTTTTCCAGGTAGTCTGTCACAGCTTCCCTTGGCTGGGAAAGGGAAATCACGTGGTCTCTTGCACTTCCCAGCTGAGGTGACTTCCCACCCTGCTTCAGCTCACCCTCTGTGGGCTGCACCAGTTGTCCAACCAGTCCCCATGAGATGAACCAGGTACCTCAGTTGGAAATGCAGAAATCACCTGTCTTCTACATCAATCACGCTGGGAGCTGCAGACCTGAGCTGTTCCTATTCGGCCATCTTGCAACACCCCCTGGTCATGGTACATAGTCTTTTTATACATGGATGGATTCAACTTGCCAATATTTTGTTGAGAATTTTTATGTCTGAGTTTGTTAGAGATGTTGGTCTGTAGTTACATGGGGTTTTTTTTGTTTTGGTTTTACTTTTTTTAATATTGTCTGTCATTTTGATTTTGGTATTAGGGTAATTTTAGCCTTTTAAATTAATTGGAGAGTATCCCCTTCTCTTCTATTTTCTGAAAGAAATTGTGTAAAATTGGTGTTCATTCTTTAAATGTTTGGTTGATAGTTAATATTATGTGTCAACTGGGCTGGATGACAATTTCAAGATATTTGGTCAAACATTATTCTGGATGTTTCTGTAATGATGTTTGTGGATGAGATTAACATTGAACTTGGTGGACTGCAATAATGGGGATTAACCTCATCTAATCAGTTAAAGGACTGAATGGAACAAAATGATTGACCTGCCCTGATCAAGGAAGAATACTGCAGGAGACAGCCTTCAGCCTTGACCTGCAACATTGACTCTTTCCTGGGTCTTCAGTGTGATGGCTTTTGAACCCTAACTATAGCATCAGGTCTCCTCTGGGTTTCTAGCCTGACAGCCCAGTTTGCAAATTTTAGACTTACCAGCCTCCATAAACACATATTTTCTTAAAAAAATATATATATGTGTGTGTATATATATAATATATACACATATATAAATATATACACATATATATATACACACAAATATATATATACACACACACAAATATATATATATATATACACACACACACATCCTCTTGGCTTTGTTTCTCTGGAGAACCCTGACTAATGCAGTAGTATTCCTTATTTATTTTCTTTCCTTTTCTTTCTTTCTTTCTTTCTTTCTTTCTTTCTTTCTTTCTTTCTTTCTTTCTTTCTTCCTTTCTTTCTTTCATCTTTCTTTCTTTCTTTCTTTCTTTCCTTTTTCTCTCTTTCTGTCTTTCTTTTTTTTGCAGGGTCTCACTCTGTGACCCAGGCTAGAGTGCAGTGGCACAATCACGGCTCACTGCAGCCTTGACCTCCCAGGCCGAATTGATCCCTCCACCTCAGCCTCCCGAGTAGCTGGGACTACAGGCGTGTGCCCCCACTTCCATCTAATTTTTGTATTTTTTGTAGAGACAGGGTTTCACCATGTTGCCCAGGCTGTTCTCGAATTCCTGGGCTCAAGGGATTCAACCCCCTCAGCCTTCCAAAGTGCTGGGATTATAGGTGTAAGCCACCATGCCTGGTCTTATTTTCCTTTTAATGGCTGTGGAATCTGCCATGATATTTCCTGTGCCATTGCGGGCATTGATGATTTTTGTCTTGTCTCTGTTAGTCTGTGTCTTTATTGCTAGAGGTTTATCAAGTTTATTTTTTCCTCTCCAGGCAGGAGCCACTGGTGCCAGCCCCATGATTCTTTCTTTTGTTTTTGTTTTGTTTGTTTGGTTGGTTTGTTTGTTCGTTTTTGAGAAAGGGTTTCACTCTGCCTCCCAAGCTGGAGTGCAATGGCACAATCTCAGCTCACTGCAACCTCCACCTCCCAGGTTCAAGCGATTCTCCTGCCTCAGCCTCCTGAGTAGCTGGGATTACAGGCATGCGCCACCACACTGGGCTAATTTTGTGTTTTTAGTGGAGATGGAGCTTCACCATGTTGGTCAGGCTGGTCTCGGACTCCTGACCTAAGGTGGTCCACCCACCTCGGGCTCTCAAATTGCTAGGATTAGAGGCGTGAGCCGCTGTGCCCAGACACATGATTCTTTCTTAAGTGTGATTACCAGAATAGTCACTGGCTTGCAGTAAGCTTTCAGTATATATTTGTTACCTGACTTTTGACTGGTGACAAAAATAAGTACCCCCTCTAGACAAAATCAACAAATAAATAATTGTCTATTACCATTAAGAGAGGTACATGATACTTATATTTTACTCATTTGGTATTGACATAAGAAAGGGGTTTAATACATTTTATCATGTCAACAAAAAATTTATTGAGACTTCTTTTGTGCCTGAAGTCTCAATAAATTTTGAGTTGTTCCAGGCATGGGATATGATAGATAAGACAGCAGAGAGTGCCCATGCCTTAGGGAGCTTATATCAGTGGGTAAGAGAAAGTCAGCCAAAAATAGGTGTCAGAAAGTAACAAGTGGTATGAAGAAAATTAACTGGAAATGGAGGGTGAGAAGCTGGAGCATGACAGAAGTACTATGTTAAATAAAGTGGTCAAGGAAGGCCTTTCTCTGAGGAGATAGCACTTGGATAATAACCAAGATAAAGTGAGGGACTCACCAGTATGAAAGGAAAAAGTGGGAAGATGTTTGTAATGTAAAGGGTGATATGAAAGAAGACTATTTTATGTAGAAGACAAAGGTCTGGAGTCAGAAAGAAGTTACGGGTATATCAGGACTAAATGAGGAAGGAGAGGTAAATGTTGAAATCAGAAAGTTAGCAAGGACCATATTATGTAGACTCTCACAGGCCATGGTAAGGAGTGCAGATTTTATTGAGGGTGTAACAGCATGTCATTAGAGTTTTGAATTCAGGCGTTGGAATGAAGATATAACCTGATTTGTCTTGAAAATGTTAGTCTGCCTGCTGTAAGGTAAAATGACTATAAGGATTCAATAGTGGGGTCTGGCATGGTGGCTCATGCCTGTAATCCCAGTATTTTAGGACGCCAACGCAGGTGGATCACTTGAGGTCAGGAGTTCAAGACCAGCCTGGCCAACACGGTGATACCCCGTCTCTACTAAAGATACAGAAATTAACTGGGCATGATGGTGCACGCCTATAGTCCCAGCTACTCAGGAAGCTGAAGCAGGAGAATTGCTTGAACTCAGGAGGTGGAGGTTGCAGTGAGCTGAGATCACACCACTGCACTCCAGCCTGGGCGACAGAGTGAGACTCCATCTCAGCAAAAATAAATAAAATAAAATAAAATAAAATAAAGAGGATTCAATAGTGGAATCATAGTTTTGATGACTACCAAAGACCCTTACATAATTTTCAAGTCTCACATTTAAACTGGATATGAGAATTTTGGAATTTAGAAGGCATGTTATAGCTCCTTTGAGGGACACCTAAAGAAAGCTTTAGGCTTCCAAGTTATGAAAGACTGACTTGGTGGAATATTTGAAGGTTAAAATTTGTTTCTTATTAACTCATGTAGTTCACTCAGGACTAAAAAATATTTATGCCAACTGTATGCAAGGGGGGCCATATGCTAAGCACTGAACCCTTTGTGTTCGAAGAGGATATCTTAGAATTTGCATATACGGTAAAGGACATCAGTCAGCGATTGTTCCCATGGTATTTATTTTTAAAAAGTATGTGTTGTGTTTATTTGTTGAAAAGCGATGATGCCTCTTATTTCCAGTACTTATTTGAAAATGTTTTATTCTGCAGTCTAATTAAGATTGTGCTTAAACTAAGTCAAATAGGTTTTTGTTTCTGTATGCTCTATCATTGTCGCCCAAAATGTGTTCTTCATGACATTACTGCTAACAGATGCTCTATGAAAATAAAAACTGCTTCTGTAGTTAAATAAGCTTTGAGAACACATGTCTTCTCTCAACAAATTAAAAATGCCTATTAGAAAATACAAAGTTCTAAGATGTTCCACAGTTAGGAAATTTTGTTTTTATATGTGCTGAATCTTCCATTTATCAATCTAGACTACATAATTTTAACTTATATTAACATCTCAAAGAATTAGTGTTCTATAAAACAGCTTTCAAAAATGTTATTCTAGGTTGTTCAGTTAGTCATGTTGTTTCCAGACGTTTTCTCTCATTCCAATCCTTGTTTCCTAAAAGCACTGTTTTAAAACCCACAAGGGTTTCTTGGCTTTTTCAATAAGCCAGTGCTACAATAGAGAAGAGTGAATAATTCTTCAGCTTCATATTTCTTTTTTTTTATTCTTGTTAAAAAAAAAAACAGAAGAAACATAAAACTTGGCCGGGCATGGTGGCTCATACCTATAATCCCAGCACTTTGGGAGGCTGAGGTGGGTGGATCACTTGAGGCCAGGAGTTCAAGACCAGCCTGGCCAACATGACAAAACCCCATATCTACTAAAAATACAAAAATTAGCCACGTGTGGAGGCATACGCCTATAGTCCTAGCTACTCCTGAGGCTGAGGCATGAGAATTGCTTGAATCTAGGAGTGGGGGTTGCAGTGAGCCAAGATTGCACCACTGCACTCCAGCCTGGATGACAGAGCAAGATTCTGTCTAAGAAAGAAAAAAGAAAAAAACTATAAAACTTACCATTTTAACCATTTTTAAGTGTTTAATTCAGTAATGTAGTCAGTAGTATATTCACATTGTTGTGAAAACAGATCTCCAGAACTTTTTGATCCCATAAATCTGAAAATCTATATCCATTAAGCAACTTCCCTTTCTTCCCCCACCCAGTCATCATAATTGTACTTTCTGTTTCAATGAATTTAACTATAGGCATACCTCAGAGATATTGTGTGTTCAGTTCCAGACAACCACAATAATGTGAATATCATAATAAAGTGAGCCATACACATTGTTTGATTTCCTAGTACATTTAAAAGTTATGTTTACACTATACTATAGTCTATTAAGTGTCTTTAAAAATATACATACCTTAATTTTTTAAATACTTTATTGCTAAATAATGATAGTGATCATCTGAACCTTTAGTGAGTTGAAATCTTTTTGCTGTTAGACGGTTTTACCTCTTTGTTCTTGGCTGCTGACTAATCAGGGTGGTTGTTACTCAATTTGGGGGGTGGCTGTGCCAATTTCTTAAAATAAGACGATGAAGTTTTCCACATTGGTTTACTCTTCCTTTCACAAAGGATTTTTCTGGTAACGCTGTTTGATAGCATTTTACCCATACTAAAACTTTTTTCAAAATTGTAGTCAGTCATCTCAAACCCTGCTGCTGCTTAATCAACCAAATTTGTGTAATATTCTAAATCTTTGTTGTCATTTCAAAAATGTTCACAGCACCTTCACTCGGAGTAGATTTCATCTCAAGAAACCACTTTCTTTGCTCATCCAGAAAAAGCACCTCCTCCTCTGTTCAAACTGTATCATGAGATTGCAGCAATTCACCATATCTTCAGGCTCCACTTCTAATTCTATTTCTCTTGAGATTCTCCAACCTCACTTTGAGGGGTTCAAAGACCTCAGTGGAGGAAGTAACTTTGCTGATGGGATTACTTCCTCCACTGAAGTCTTAAACCCCTCAAAGTCATCCATGAGGGTTAGAGACAACTTCTTCTAAACTCCTGTTAACGTTGCTATTTTGACCTTTCGTGAATCACAAGTGTTCTTCATGGCATCCAGGATGATGAATTCTATTCAGAATTTTTCAATTTGCTTGGTCATATTAATGAGTGGAATCACTATCTATGGCAGCTGTATCCTTATACAATGCATTTCTTAAATCATAAGACTTGGAAGTTGCAATTACTCCTGGACTTATGGGATACAAAACGGATGTTGTGTTAACAGGCTTGAAAACAACATTGATCTCCTTGTACATCTCCTTCATAGCTGTTGCATGATTGGATGCATTGTCAGTGAGCAGTAATATTTTGAAAGAAATCTTTTTTATGAGCAGTAAAAAAAATCTTTTTTATGAGCTTAAAATATTCAGTAAAACATGCTATAAACAAATGTGCTGTCATCCAGGCTTTGTTGTTCCATTGATAGAGCACAGACAGGGTCAATTTAGCATAATTCTTAAGGGCCCTAGGAGTTTTGGAATGGTAAATGAACATTGGCTTCAACTTCAAATCACCAGCTACATTAGCTGCTACATTATCTGTTAGCCTGTCCTTCAAAGGTTAGGATGTTAGCCTGTGAAGCCAGATATTGGCTTCTCCTCTCTAGCTATGATAGTCCTAGATGGCATCATCTTCCAATAAAAGGCTATTTTATCTACATTGAAAATCTGTTTTTTAGTGTAGTCACCTTCATCAATTATCTTAGGTAGGTCTTCTGAATAACTTGCTGCAGCTTCTACATCAGCACTTGCTACTATATCCTGCAATTTTTTGTTATGGAGATGTTTTGTTATAGAGATGACTTCTTCCCTTAATCCTCATAAACAGACCTCTGCTAGCTTGAAACTTTTCCTCTGCAGCTTCCTCATCTCTCTCAGCCTTCATAGGATTGAAGAGAGTTAGGGCCTTGCCCTGGAGTTTTTAAGGGAATGTGGTGGCTGCTTTGATATCCTATCCGGATCGTTGAAACTTTCTCCATATCAGTAATAAAAGCCTATTTCACTTTCTTATCATTCATGTGCTCACTGGAGTAGCACTTTTAATGTTATTCAAGAACTTTTTCTTTGCATTCACAACTTGGCTAACTTTTTGGCACAAGTTGCCTAGCTTTCAGCCTGTCTCAGCTTTTGACATGCCTCTCTAGCTTTTGATTTAAAGTGAGAGATGTGCAACTCTTTCTTTCATTTGAACCACTTAGAGGCCATTTTAGGGTTATTAATTGGCCTCATTTCAATATTGTTGTTTCTCAGGTTATAGAGAGGCCCAAGGAGAGGGAGAGAGATGGAGGACTGACTCGTCAGTGGAGCAGTCAGAACGCACATATTTATCAATAAGTTCACTGTCTTATATGGGCATGGTTCATGGTGCCCCAAAACAATTACAATAGTAACATTAAAGACCACTGATCATGGATCACTATAAAAAATATAATAATAATGAAAAAGGTTGAAATAGAGAATTACCAAAATGTGACACAGAGACATGAAGTGAGCACATGCTGTTGGATAAATGGTACCAATAAACACAGCACGTTCTCACTCATAGGTGGGAATTGACCAATGAGAACACATGGACACAGAAAGGGGAACATCACACTCTGGGGACTGTTGTGGGGTGGGGAGAGGAGGGAGGGATAACATTAGGAGATATACCTAATGTTAAATGACGAGTTAATGGGTGCAGCACACCAACATGGCACATGTATACATATGTAACAAACCTGCACATTGTGCACATGTACCCTAAAACTTAAAATGTAATAATAATAAAATTTTAAAAAAAGAATTGCTAGATGCAGGGTTGCTACAAACCTTCAATTTGTAAAGAAAACTCAGTATTTGTGAAGTGCAGCAAAATGAGCTATGCCTGTATTTATCATTGTTATATCTTTTTGGTGAATTAAACTTTTATCATTATACAATGTACTCCTTTGTCTCTTATAACAGTTGTTGACTTAAAGTATATTCCACCTGATATTAGTGTAGTTACCATGCTCTGTTTTCGTAACCATTTGCATGGAATATCCTTTTCCATCTTGTCAACTTTTAGCCTATGTGTGCCCATAGATCTAAAATGAGTATCTTATAGAGAATATATAGTTTGATCCTGTTTTTTATCTGCTTAGCCAATCTATGTGTTTTGACTGGGGAGTTAAATCCATTTACACTTATTTGCTCATAGGAAAGGACTTGCTATTGCCATTTGTTAATTGTTTTTTGTATGTTATATTGCTTTTTCGTCCCCGATTTCCTCTTTAACTTCCTTTGTGTTTCACTGATATTTTGTAGTGGCATGCTTTTACTTCCTTCTCATATCTTTTTGTGTATATTCTAAAGATTTTTTGTGTGTGGTTGCCATTGCAATTACATAAAACATTTTAAAGTTATAGCATTCTATTTTAAACTGATAGAAACTGTAAACTGATAGAAACTTAAAGTTATAGCATTCTATTTTAAACTGATAAAACATCTTAAAGTTATAGCATTCTATTTTAAACTGACAGAAACTTTAAACTGATAGAAACTTCAATCACATACTTATTTACAGCTGCACCTCTCCAACTTCATGTTATTGATGCCAAAAGTTATATCTTTATATATTGTATACCATTAATAAAATATATAGTTAAATTTATAGTTTTTAAATATGTTTTTGTCATTCAAATTATATGCACCAAAATTACAAGAACACAAGTTATGTTAATTGTCTGCATTTACCTTTACTAGGGAACCTTATATTTTTCAATGGCTTTCTGTTTCTTTCTACTTTCCTTTCTTTTCAACTTGAAGGGCCCTCTTCAGCATTTCTTATAGAGCAGGTCTAGTGGTAATGAACTCTTTCAACTTTTGTTCACCTGAGAAAGTCTTAATTTATCTTTCATTTTTGAGGGACAGTTTTGCTAGACCTGGTATTCTTAGTTAACAGGTTTTTTTTTCTTTTATTACTTTTAATATATTATGCTACTCCCCTCTGATATGAAAGGTTTCTTCTGAGAAATCCACTGATAATTTTATGACAGTTCCCTTGTATATGATGAATTGCTTCTCTCTTGCTGCTTTCAAGATTCTCTCTTTGACTTTAAACAGTTTGATTATAATGAATGTTGGTGGGGTTCTTTTTTGGTTTTATCCTAGTTGGAGTCTTTTGAGCTTGTCAAATTTGTATATCCATTTATTTCTTTAGATTTAGAAAGTTTTCAGCCATTATATCCCTGCTCTTTTCTCCTTCTTAAATTCTATAATGTGAATATTGGTCACTTGATAGTGTCCTACATTAGGCCATTCTCACATTTCTATAAAAATATCTGAGACTAGGTAATTTATAAAGAAAAAAGGTTTAATCAGCTCATGGTTTGGCAGGCTATACAGAAAGCATGGTGGCATCTGCTTCTGGGGAAGCCTCAGAAAACTTATAATTATGGCAGAAGACAACGCAGGAACAGACATCTTACATGAAAGGAATGGGACCGAGAGAGAATGAGGAGGTGCTACACACTTTTAAACAACAAGATCTCATGATAATTCACTCACTCACTATCATGAGAAAAGTACCGAGAGGATGGTGATAAACCATTCATTAGAACTCTGTCCCCAAGATCCAGTCACCTCCCACCAGGCCCCACCTTCAACATTGGGGATCACAGTTCAACATGAGATTTGGGTGAGGACACAGATCCAAGCCATATCATACCACCCCTGGACTCTCCCAAATTTCATATTCTTCTCACATTGCAAAATTCAATTATGCCTTCCCAACAGTTCCCCCAAAGTCTTAACTCATTCAAGCATTAACTAAAATGTCCGAAGTCCAAAGTCTCATCTGAGACAAGGCTAGTCCCTTCCACCTATGAGCCTGTAAAATCAAAAACAAGTTAGTTACACCCAAGATACAATGGGGGTTTAGGTGTTGCATAAATATTTCCATTCCAAAAGGGAGAAATAGACCAAAAGAAAGGGGTTACAGGCCCCATGCAAGTCTGAAACCCAACAAGCAGTCATTAAATCTTAATGCTCCAAAATAATCTCCTTTGACTCTCTGTCTCACATACAGGGCACATTGCTGCATGGGTTGGGCTCCCAAAGACTTGGGCAGCTCTGCCCCTGTGGCTTTGCAAGGTTCAGCCCCCACGGCTGCTCTCATGGGCTGGGATTGTGGGCCTGCACTCCTCCAGACTGAAGGTGCAATCTCTCTGTGGGTCTACCATTCTAGGGTCTTGAGGATGGTGGCCCTCTTCTCACTGCTTCACTAGGCAGTGCCTCAGTGGAGAGTCTGTGTTGGGGCTCCAACCCCATGTTTCCTCTCTGTACTGACCCAATAGAGGTTCTCCATGAGGGCTCCAACTCTGCAGCAGGATTCTGCCTGGCTTTTCAATACATTTTTGGATACATTTTCAATACATTTTTTGAAGTCTTGGTGGAGGCTCCCAAGCCTCAATTCTTGCATTCTGTGCACCCACAGGCTTAACACCTGGTGGAAGCCACCAAGGCTTATGGATTGCATTCTCTGAAGCAGCAGCCTGAGCTGTACCTGGGCCCCTTTGAGCCACAACTGGAGCTGGAGCAGCTGGAAAACAGGGAGCAATGTCCTGAGGCTGCACAGGGAAGTGGGCCCTGGACCTTGTCCATGAAACCATTCAGTCCTCCTTGGTCTCTGGGCCTGTGATGAGAACAGCTGCTGAGAAGGTCTCTGAAATGCCTCTGAGGCCTTCTTTGTAAATTTCTCCAGCCCACTTGATTTCCACCCCTGAAAATAGGCTTTTCTTTTCTACCATATGGCCAGGCTGCAAATTTTCCAAACTTATGCCCTACTTCTCTCTTAAATATAAATTCCAGTTTCAGGTCATGATGTGGTTTGGCTGTCTCTTCACCCAAATCTCATCTTGAATGGTAACTCACATAATTCCCACATGTTGTGGGAGGGACCTGGTGGGAGGTGGTTGGATTGTGGGAACAGTTCTTTCCCATGCTGTTCTTCTGGTGGTGAGTGGGTCTCGAGATCTGATGGTTTTAAAACCAGGAGTTTCCCTGCACAAGCCCTCTCGGCCTGCCACCATTCACATAAGATGTGATTTGTTTCACCTTGCCTTCCACCATGATTGTGAGGCCTCCTAGCCACATGGAACTGTGAGTCCAGTTAAACCTCTTTATTTTGTAAATTGCTCAGTCTCGGATATGTCTTTACCAGCAGCCTGAAAATGGACTAATGCAGGTCATTTCTTTGCTCATAGATATAAGCATAGGTTGTTGGAAGCAGCCAGGCCACATTTTGAATGCTTTGCTGCTTAGAAGTTTTCTCTGGCCAAATACCTTAAATCATCTCTCTCAAGTTCAAAGTTCCACAGATTCCTAGAGCAGGGGCACAATTTAGCCAGTCTCTTTGCTAAAGCATAGTAAAAGTGACCTTTGCTCTAGTTCCCAATAAGTTGCTCATTTCCATCTGAGACTTTCTCAACCTGGACTTCATTGTCCACCTCGCTATCAGAATTTTGATAACAACAATTTAAAAAGTCTCTGAGAAGTTTCAAATTTTCCCTCATCTTTCTGTCTTCTTCTGAGCACTCTACACTCTTCCAGCCTCTGCTTATTACCCAGTTCCAAAGCCACTTCCACATTTTTAAGTATCTTTATAGCAATGCCCGACTCTTGGTACCAGTTTTCTGTATTAGTCTGTTCTCGCACTGCTATAAAGAAATACCTGAGACTTGGTAATTTATAAAGAAAAGAGGTTTAATTGACTCACAGTTCTGCAGGCTGTACAGGAAGCATGGCAGCATGTGCTTCTGGGGAGGCCTCAAGAAACTTACAATCATGGTGGAAGGCAAAGCAGAAGCAGACACCTTACATGGCAGGAGCAAGACTCAGAGAGAATGAGGAGGTGCTACATACTTTTAAACAACCATATCTCATGATAACTCACTCACTCCTATCATGAGAACAGCACAGAGGGTATGGTGCTAAACCATTCATGAGAACTCCACCCCCATGATCCAATCACCTCCCACCAGGCCCCACCTCCAACACTAAGGATTATAATTCAACATGAAATTTGGGTGGGGACATAGATCCAAATGATATCATGTCCCATAAGTCCCCCAGGCACTCTTCACTCATCTTCATTCTTTTTTTCTTTTTGCTCCTCTGACTTGATGATTTCAGATGACCTGTCTTCCAGTTTGCTGATTCTTTTTTTTTTTTTTTTGCCTGATCAAGTCTGCTGTTGAACCTCTGTAGTAATTTTTTTAAGTTCAGTTGTATTTTTCAGTGCCAGAATTTGTTTGTTTCTTTTAAAAAATAGTTTCTATCTCTTTTTTTATATTCTCATTTTGTTCATGTGTTATTTTCTTTATTTCATTTAATTGTTGACATGTGTTTTCTTTTATCTCATTGAGAATCTTTATGATGGTTATTTAAAAATTTTTCAGTTGCAAGATCATGGCTCACTGCAGCCTCAGTCTCCCTGGGCTTTGGTGATCCTCCCACCTCTGCCTCCCGAATAGCTGGGGCCACAGGGGCACACCACCACACCAAGCTAACTTTTGTACTTTTTACAGAGATGAGTTTTCATCATGTTGCCCAAGCTAGTCTTGAACTCTTGGGCTCAAATGACACACCCACCTTGGCCTCGCAAAGTACTGCACCTGGTCTATTTAAAATTCTTTGTCAGGCAGCTCATAGTTCTGCATTTCTTTAAGATCAGTTTCTGAATTTTATTTTATTTTTCTTTCTATTGGGCCATGATTCTTGTTTCTTTGTATGCCTTATAATCTTTTGTTGAGATTTGGGTATTTGTAAAAGCAAACACCACTCCCAGTCTTTGTGCAGATGAACTTCAATCAGCCTAGCTAGAGATTCTAGAGCCTCTCAAACCTTCTCTGATTTCTTGCTTCCCTTGGCATCTGCCTGCAAAACTGCAGCTCTAATGTATGGCAGTGCTTATCTCTGTTTTGATTGGCCTCCAAATTATGCCTTTGATCCATCAAGCAAGACCAAAACTAGTCCCTCTGGTGGCTCCCATGCAACTTAGAACACTGGATGCATGATTCACTCCAGAAGGAGTAGCTTGAGTTTGAGGGGTTTCCTCCTGGTTGCATTGTGCTAAGCCACATGGAGAGGGGACATGGATGAGCAAGCAAAACATGTGAACTTTCTTATCGCCTTTCACTTGAATCCCTTCTTGGTTTTATATTGGCCTGTGTGTTATAGCATCTCAACTGGTCTCATAATTTCTCAGAGGTATTCTGGTTCACATATCGTTGTTAACTTGGTGTCTCTGTAGGGGAAGGAAGGCCTGGAGCTTCCTGGTTCATCATCTTACTGACACCACTTCCCAGTTTGACATTTCTTTTGTCTGTTTGTTTGTGACAGGGTCTCACTCTGTCACCCAGGGTGGAGTGCAGTGGCACCATCTTGGCTCACTGCAACCTCTGCCTCCCAGGTTCAAGCGATTCTCCTGCCTCAGCCTCCCAAGTAGCTGAGATTACAGGCGTGCACCACCACACCCAGCTAATTTTTGTATTTTTACTAGAAACAGGGTTTTGCCATGTTGGCCAGGCTGGTCTAGAACTCCTGACCTCAAGTGATCTGCCCACCTTGGCCTCCCAAAGTGTGATAATTCTTTTGAAAATATGACAATAAGAGATTTGATTTAAGTCTTTTGGTTGTTTAAAAAATACACAGTTTGAATAAACTACATGTTTCAAAATTTTACCAATAGTTTAAAAAATTTTGTAATGAATGGGTTCAAAACCTGCTTATGTGACCCTAGGATATTTCCTTAGTCTTAGTTTTCTCATAGGGTTTATGTGAACACTAATTGAGTTAATATACATAAGCACTTAGAACAGTATCTGATACATGATAAGCACATATAAATCTTGTATTTGTTCCAGAAACATTGTCAATTCTCCTTGCTCTCTGACAATGGCAGTTTTATTTATAGGTAAGAACAAATTCTGTGTAATGGAATCATAATAGGTTTTCGATGTATAATTTTCATCTATGTTGTAGAAGGTAATGCTTTTTAATTTTTGCAAATTCGTAGTTACTATTCTATCATTAATATCAGTCATCCTGCAGTTATTCAGTTCAACAAATACTTACTATGAGGTTACTATGTACTGGAATATATACTCTGCTCTTCAAGAGATTACAATCTAGTGAGGGAGAAGGATAGGCTTTAGACTCTTTGTATGTATATATGACTGAGTTCTTGAAACTCACATATCAGAACTGACTCCAACTACAGTTTGTAGGTCTTAGGGATCTTCCACTGAAGCAGACTATTTAGAATTTCTCCTCCCCAAATCTGCATCCTGTAGTACACCTCTTATTTCTTTATGTTAAGTTTGTTGGCAGAGCACAGTGCTCACACCTATAATCCCAGCACTTTGTGAGGCCGAGGTGGATGGATTACTTGAGGCCAGGATTTTGAGACCAGCCTGGCCAGAATTTGTTTGGCCAGAATATGGTCTGGCTAATATGGTGAAACCCCATTTCTACTAAAAAAAAAAAAAAGAAAAATACAAAAATTAGCTAGGCGTGGTGGCACGTGCCTGTAGTCCCAGCTAGTTGGGAGGCTAAGGCATGAGAATTGCTTGAACCTGGGAGGTGGAGGTTGCAGTGACCCAAGATTGCGCCACTGCACTCCAGCCTGGGTGAGAGTGAGACTGTCCAAAACAAAACAAACAAACAAACAAACAAAAATTTGTTGCACTCTTGGTGTGAAACTTTTGAGAAGATGTTCCTTTCAAGTATGCTCAGCCTTCTGAGGATTGTCAATTAATCAGAAATATTAATATATTGGTGTAAGTGCCATTTTCTACCAGTGCAACTCTGTAAGTGCAAGTCTCTGTAAATATGATCATTCACTTTTAGAGTTTAGTGTTTTCTGAGGAAACAGATATTAAAATATCCAAGAGCTTCTCCTAAAACCATCCTGATTCAACTTTTTTTAAAGTTAAGAGGAAGCACCAGCTCTTCTCTCCCTCATGGTGGATGGGGCAGTGTAGCAGTAGCAGTAGGAGATAGGCATATAGCTTGGGAAGGCATAAGATAGCAACTACTTTCTCCAAAAGAACACTCCCTAATAGCCTCTTCAACCCCTCAGTACTTTTTTATATAGCCAGAAGATGAGTAATAGCTGATGTTTTAGAAGTACACAATCTCTTAGCATTTCCTGAATAGGCATCACACCAACTGACTTTAGACTGTAGGAGTATTTGGTACCTCTTATATTGAGGTTAGCCCTTAGGGATTCTCTGAAAACCCCAAGGTGAGAGTTGACATTCTTTCTTGTTCCTGATTTTAAAATGACTTCTTCTAATGTTTTGTCACTTGAAATGATATTTGCTGTAAATTTTTGGAGATATCTTTAAAAAAAATCAGATTAAGAAGCTTCGTTTTATCCCAACTAAAAACTTATTTATCCCAAATAAAAACTATGAGAGTTTTTATTCTTTTTTTGTGAATAGGTGTTGAATTTTATCAAATACTTTTCTCATCAATTGCAATGATCACATGGGTTTTCTCTTTTAATCTGCTTATATGGTACATTACATTTATAGATTTTCTAATGTTAAAACAACCTTGCATTCTCAAGATGAACCCAACTTGGTCATGATGCATGGTATTTGCAATATACTAAAGGACTTAGTTTTCTAGTATTTTGTTTAAGACTTTACCATTTATGTTGGTGAATTCGTTTGGTCTGTAATTTTCCTTTCTCATACATTTCTTGCTCAATTTGTCAAATATATGTTATAAGACCCACTATTCAGGCTTTCTGTCTTCTTGCATCAGTTTCGATGTTATCTTTTTCTAATAATTTGTTATTTTGTCTGTTTTCAGTGTATTATTTTATTGTTATTTCAAACTTATTAATGTAAAATTATTGATAGATTTATTGTATTTTCATCTTAATATCTGCTGTTCATATAGCTGTGGTCCCTGGTTCCTTTTTAAATTCTTACTAGTATATATTTGTGCCTTTTTTCCTTATACAATCTCTTCAGCAGTTGTCTATTTGAGTAGTCTTTTCTAAGAAACAACTTTTGGTTTTGTTGATTGTCTCTATTTCATTCTTCTTTTTTATTTTATTAATTTCTAGTCTTAACATTTTTTATTTCTTTCATTCTATTTTCTTTGGGGTTATTTACCTTTTTTCTAATTTCTCAAGTTAGATGCTTAGCTTTTTAAATATAAGCCATTCTTCTATCTAATAAGATTACAAATTTCTCTTACAGTATACTGTTATTCCATAAATTTTGTGGCATAGTTATTGTTCAGTATTAAGTATTTTTAAGTGTTCTATTATAATATCATTTTAATCTATTTATTATTTAAAAGTATGCTTAAAAATTGTAATGTATGTGGTTTAAAATTTATCTTTTTGTCATAAATTTCAAACTTAATTACCTTATGGTCAAATAATATAATTTTCATATACAGAGTCTCTGAAGTTTCTTTGATGTTTGAATTATGATACTGTTTGTACAGTTCTAGAAATTTTTGCTTTACATATTTTGAAGTTACATTGTATTTTCTAGGCAGACAACATTTTATTATCATTTAGCGACCTTTTAAAAGTTAGTTTTTTCAATTTAATATAACTATCACAGCTTTATTTTGGCATTTATATTTTTCCAAAGAGAGGATTTTATATGCTTTATTTGCTACTATTCAATACAAGCATCCTGCTGGTCAGAGTTCAAGCCAACTCAGCTCACAGGCGGCTGGTCTCTCTCGGTCCTGGCCCATTTATAGCTACCTTCTTTTATGGTACACCTCTTCCTGATAGAAGATAAATTCCACAGTGGCAGGAATGCTTATTTTGTTCTCTTTTTATCCTCAGCATTTATGACAGTACCTGGTACTAATTCGTGCTCAAAAAATTTTTAAGCAAATGAACAAATGACTCCATTTAAATTTTTTTCCACTGCTAACATAACTTCCTCACTTCTTTTTAAGCATTTTCACACTTTTGTTCACCTGTCTGGCTGGAACTAAAACTTTAACAATAATAACACTTTTTAAATACTTAACCACACTCAGGGGCTATTCTAACATCTGTGTATTAATTATTTAATTTTCAAAATCCTACCAGGCAGGCACTATCATTATTGCCATAGAAGAGAAACAGACAAAAAAAATTACTTGTTTAAGATTACACAGCTACAGCCAGACACGGTGGCTCATGCCTGTAATTCCAGCACTTTGGGAGGCCGAGGTGGACGGATCACATGAGGCCAAGTGTTCAAGACCAGCCTGGCCAACATGGCGAAAACTCATCTCTACTAAAAATACAACAACAGCAACAAAATTAGCCGGGTGTGGTGGTGCATGCCTGTAATCCCAGCTACTCAGGAGGCTGAGGCATGAGAATCACTTGAACCCGGGAGGCGGAGGTAGCAGTGAGCCAAGATGGTGCCATTGCGCCCCAGCCTGGGTGACAGAGCAAGACTCTGTCTCAATAAATAAAGAAAGAAAGATTATGCAGCTACTAAATGGCAGAGCTAGGATTTGAACTAGGCAGAGTCTTATCTTCTTACACTACCTATAAAGTGAGGTGTTCTGTGTTTTTTTTTTAAAAAAAAACAATTATAATTGCTTCATATTTTAACTCTCTAATCTTATTTCCCAATTCCCAAATCTTGGAAGTCACGTATCTCATTTTTGACCACATGAAACACTAAAATTCATTCCAAAATTAAAAAAAAAATGAAAGAGGCTATTACAGTCATTCAAGTGAAGGATGACCATAACTAGGTTGAGAATGGTGGTGATGGTGCTGGGATGAACAGGTTTAAGAACTATTTAGGAGCAAAAACCAACACAACAGGCTTATGGACCCATATAGTTTTAGGTAAGCAGGAGGGAGATACTGTGGCTGACTCAGGACTTGAACATGCATAGTTGGGTAGAGAGAGTAGCAGGCACTGGGGAGCACTGAAGGAGGTAAAGATGGGGGTGGGGAAGAATCATGAATTCCATTTTGATTAGGTTGAGTAGTCACATATACAGGTCTAGAGCTCAAAGGAGAAGAGGAGGAGAGGGCCTAGGACTGAGTCTTGAGCAACTCTGACATTTAAAGGCCAGGAGGAGAAGAATGAGCCTGCAAAGGGAATAAAGAATGAACAGGTAGGGGGGTTGGAGGAAACAGGAGAATGTTGATTCTCAGAAGCCAAGGAAGCACTTTTCAGAAGCAGAAATGGTAAGTGCCCCACTCCAGGCCCATGAGAACTTTGGGATGCTCTTTCTTGCCTCCTGAGATGTGTGGGATCAATGCTCGTAGTTGGCTCCCACCCCACACTTCTGCTCTAGCACACTGGATAATGCAGATAACTTCTTCCCCAGGCTTGCTGTCTCCTGAGCTTCCACCCAAGACGGGGCCTAGGTCTTCACTACTCTAGGATCTGGATCCCTGAAGTAATGGTTAAATGATGCAACATGCAAAATAGCTTTTTGAAATTTCAATTGCATATTCCACCCCACTGAGATGTATTTAGTCCTATTTCAAATATAATTTGCTTCAGCTGCTAGAATATTTACTCCAGGCTTTCAGAGGCTTTATCATGAGTTTTGGTTGTCTGTTGCTGCATAACGAACCACCCCACATATAGTTGCTAATCAAAATAACAACAGAATTTGTTTTGTTCATGAATCTGCAAGTTGGGCAGGTCTCTCTCAGGGACAGCCTGTCTCTTCTCCATTTGCAGCATCTTGAAGTTTCAGGCTAGGATCATTAGTTCACCAGGTCTGGTGCTGGGGCTAGAACCACTAACGCTCTTCAGGTATCTCTCTGTATGGTCTCTAGCATGGCGGCTTCAGGGCAACCAGACTAGTAACCTGTCACCTCAAGGAGAGACAGAGATGCTGTTTACTTTTTATAACCTAACCTCAGAAGTTTCACAGTGTCTCTTTTGCTGCATCCTATGCCTTAGAAATGAGTCATTATACTAACATATTAAAAGAGAGAGGAATTAGATTTCACCTTTGATGGAAGATTGTCAAAGAAATTGCAGACATGTTTAAAAACCACTGTACTATGATAGAAAAGGACAAATTAGAAAGGACTCAGAGCTCAGCTAGTTTAAAGCTTGAGTTTTTCAGGTGTGGAAGCTGAAAGAGGGTAACTGAGTTGCTCAAACTGTTCATTCAAGGCAAGCATTGAGCTGGAATAAAAACACTTTCTTGCTGTGCCTCACGATTAAGACCTTTTTCCTAAAGATAATAGCAGTCCTTGATTACTACTGGGTACCTTTTTTTGATGGTTTTACTGACCAGTAAGGAATCTGATATAATTACTATGACATGAAACCATATATAATATGTTAAATCATTATAAGAGCAGAAGCATCTAAGAAATATTTCTCCAAACTCTTCTTTAGCTTTTTGAAAAAGATTAATTGGCTTGCTTATATTAAAGTCACAATTTTTTAAGGGGCTTAAATGCAGTGATGAAAACTGTTCTTCAAGGCAGTTTCCAAATTTTACCTGTTTTGTGGCATTTTTCGGGATCAACCTAGTCAGTAATAATGGCTTTCACTCAGAGGCAGATTGACAGTAAAACTACTGAAGTGTTCTTTGACTCTCTTCTGATGTATTCACTGAGTTATGCTTTTGTAAAATTTGCAAGAATAAGATATTTTAACTGTAATCAGTTAAAGCCAGTTGTGTGAGATGATATTCGAATGGCCAATGGCACTTTTGAGATCCAAATGAGGGACTGGTGAGTTGAGGGCACATTTTGAGTTTAACAGGGTATGTTTAGGTGGCTTGCAGTTGCTTCAGTGTCTATCTAAGGAACCCCAGAATGATGTCAGAATGGCTTTCAGTGTATTCCTTTGGCCCATTGTGCCTGCTCAGCCAGCACATGACAGGAAGGTATGAGGCCAGAGTCCAGACCACCCTATGAAGGTGTCCTATGGTGCTGTGACAGACAGCTCCCACACAGTTCCCAAGGATGCTGCCTCCTGTGTAATCTTCCCTGTGTAATCCCCTCCCTGTGAGTGTGGGTGGGGCCTAGGAACTCCTTCCAACTGAATAGTGATAGAATATCACTTCTGTAAGTAGATTACAGAAGAGATTGTGGCTTTGTTTTGCTAGCATGTTCCCTCTTGCTTGTGCACTCTGATGAAGCCCGCTGCCATGTTGTGAGATGCTCCATGGAGAGGCCCATGTAGAAAGAAATGATTTCTATAGTAATTATGTGAAATAGAATTTATCAGATTCCCTTGTTTGTAGTCACAAACCTATAGGAAATCAACAAACACCAAGTGCATCTTTTACAGCTAATATATGAAAGAAACTTGATGGGGGTTTCCAGAATTTTCCTCAAAAAATACAGGGGGCAATATATTATAGAGGCATGTCAGAAAATTAAGCACAATTGTGATGTTTATGGTATATGTGAACTTTCTAAAGTTTGTAATTTCTTGTTATTTATTTTCTCAACCTAAATAAATATTCGTTTTCTTACCTAAAAAAAGTCTAAAAAATTTGGCACTCTAATAAGGAATTTTATTATTCAATATAGTATGTTCAAAAGGGAATTATCACTTTTTAAGTTGTTTTCAATGTTTGGGGAAGAAATATTATTAAAACAATACATTTATTTTCTAAAGAGGCTGATTAGTCTGTTTTCACACTGCTGATAAAGACATACCTGAGACTGGGTAATTTATAAAGGAAAGAGGTTTAATTGACTCACAGTTCCACATGGCTGGGGAGGCCTCACAATCATGGCAGAAAGCAAAGGGGAAGCAAGACACATCTTACATGGCAGCAGGCAAGAGAGAATGAGAGCAAAGCAAAAGTGGAAACCCCTTATAAAATCATCAGATCTGGTGAGATTTATTCACTACCACAAGAAGAGTATGTGGGAAACTGCCCCCATGATTCAGTTATCTCCCACCAGGTCCCTCCCACAACATGTGGGAATTCGGGGAGCTACAATTCAAGATGAGATTTGGGTGGGGACACAGCCAAACCGTATCAGAGGCCCAGGAAAAAAATATGACTGGAGAAGCTGCTTTCTATATAGAAAGAGACCTCATATCTCAGCCTTTAACATGCCTGGCACATAGAAGATTCTCAATAAATATTTCTGAGGAAAGGAAGGAAAGAATGAAAGAACTGTACAGTGTCTACCTAGGATCACAATCTGTCTTATATCGCAATAGATGCCTCATTATTACTACACTTTATCCAAAACACTTAACACAGCACTCTGAGGAGTAAACAAAAAAATTAAAGGTAAAATGTATAATTTTATTTGGATCTAATGATCAGCATGCAAGGTTTTCTGAGAGTTCGAAGTGTAATACTTTTTGAAAAGTTAATGTCTCTTAGCTATATAATAGCTATAAAATCACACAAACATAAGAAAAATAAGCATAATTATTTCTTTTTAAAATAACTTTCTAAAAGAAACATATTTGGCAAGGGCTATTAAACTTTTGATTTGATTAGATGCCAGCATTATGTACTGAAGGCAGTAAAACAAATAGGCATATTCTATTTGTTATAAAGCTGTGTGAGGTCCCTTAATGCTGCATATATTCTTTTAAGTTGCACCACTTGCTTAGTACAGTTTGCTCAATGATAAACATAATTTTCAAATGTGTTTATTATTATATGAATTTTCACCAAGATCTTAGTGACTAAAGTTTATATGATGAGATAAATCTAAGTATCAGATATATTCTATTTTAAAAGGAAGACCATTATAAAACATCTTCCCTGTTGATTGCATTTTTCTGTATCTAAATAACCTTTGCTTATTAGATATAGAATTATATTAAAGTAATAAGGTTAACAAGACACACATAAAATATGGAGAAAAATGCAAACTAAAAACCTTTATCCTAACAAATATTCATAAATTTCTGAAAACAACTGCAAATAATTATTGCACAAAAATGATTAATAAGTAGTGTTGTCAGGTTTTTAACAAATGAAAAGGGGATATTCATATTCCTATTAGTGCATAGCTCTCATTATGCATACCTATGTCAATTAGCAAAACTTATTAACTAAAGGGCATATGTTTAGCAATAAATGAAAAACAGACTCCCTTTTTGCTGCAAAATCAAAGATAATCAGCCACCAAATATCAAAGTTTATTAATGAGCTTTATTTGATGCTAATTTTCCCTAACTATATTAGAATGACAAAACTAATTTAGTAATGGCTCCTGGTACATAATTATAACTATTTGTTACATTTCTTTAAATAGTTCATTAGGCTACCAAGGAAAAGGTATATAATTTCTAGACTTTCAAGCTTAAATATAAATTTTGAGCTTTTTATTCATTTCTAGTGGTCATAATCACCTAAATATTAGAGAGTAAGACTAAAATTTTTGATTTCAAAACATGTTATAATTTTAGTTATATTTCCTTAGGGAAAGGCAATAAGTAGAAAGGCTCTAAAATTACCTGTTTTATTTTTGTTTCATCGCATAATGGATACAGAGAAATTAAACTGATAAGTTATCATTACTGAACTCACTTTACTCCATAATTTTAAACCAATGACTAGTCAAATCTCTACACTGTCCACTGAAAAGTTGAGAATTTATTAAAAAGGAGAGAAAATGAGAAAATTAAAAGTCAAGTTTATAGTAATTCTTCAAATTTGTTTTAGAGAGTTAGATTTTAATCACTGTAAGAAAACTACTGGAAAAAAATGAATCATAGGGATACCAGCTTTTCCTTTATATAATAACTTATTTATTCACTAATTTATTGTTCAGTAGATATGATATGAACCCCTACTATGTACCAAGCACTGTACTGAATGCTGGGATTATAGTAGTGAGCCCAGAAGACAGGATTCCTCCCATGACCCCTGCCCTCATGGAGCTTCCCCCTCATGAGGTGCTTTATCTGGCAAACTCATGCTATGGAGCCTCACAAACTGACTGCAATTTTAAAGAGTGTCTGATTATTTATATTTGGAGACAAAATCTTGTAAAACTCTCCGAATAAAGTGTGAAATAATTCTATAAATTCAGTTAAGATAATCACTTAGCCTTTCTCAAAAACAAGAAGAGAAACCCCTTATTATTGACTGTGGTATGCTTTAATCAGCAAGAAGACCTAGCATAGAGGCCATGTGAACGTGGCCTAAAGAAAAATGTATCTGTGCTCCATTGCATTCCTGCTATAGAATCACTGAATCATCTTGGGCAGCTAAGACAACAATGGGGCTTACTTTCTTCACTTATAAAATGGGAATTCTTTATAATCTATGAAGACTTTTAAGAAAAGTGAGATCATACACTAGTTCTCAGTTGAGCCATCTGCTTTGAGTGTTATTTTATGTTAGTTTATTATTGCTGGTCAATAGGAAAGATAAGGAAGCAATATCCTGAAATCAAGTCTAGCTCAATTTATTACATAGGTTCAGGTGCTCTTCATAAGAAACTGGGGATTTTAGCACACTCTCAGAATACCAGAAATAAAAGTCTTCTAGCTGCCCTGTTGTGTTTGGTGTGATAGGGAGCAATGGACTAGGCCCACTTTCTCCAACAATGTAATCTCACCTCCATCATCATGCAAGTATAGATTTGCAGGCAGCCACATTTCATAGACATGTATTAGTCAAAGGCAAAGAATTAACACCCTCATAAAAGATGCAAAATAGGCCTTCACATTAAAGAGTACAAATTGATCAAATGAAAATGTAGTAAATGACATCCTAATGGTCCTTATTCTGGCTTCCTAATTCTCTGTGCACAAGATGCTTTTATGCACCACTGAAGTAGAGCCATCACAACCTCCAACTAGCCCCAGTTAGTCTAATTACAGCCTAATGCTCTCCAAATATGTCTGGGATAAAAGCCTGCATAACCTGCCTTTCCTTAATTTAAGTGGGTCAGATTGAACATTTTTAAAAATCCAAACTGTAGTTTACAATTACAGTACACATAAAATATACATTCTTAAGAAAAATGTGCATTTAAGCTGTCTTTGGTATGGTAACCAGTCTCTGTACATAGATTAAGAATTTGCAAAACTAGAGGAGTTGGAGGATTAATGAGATCATGTGATTAAACTGCTGTAAAAACCCTTAGTGAAAGGTATTATTTTTATTCACCGTGAACATGCAGTTTTGTCTTAAGACATGGAAAAAAATGAATCAGATGACTGTTCCATTATATTGTCAATATAATAATAATAGCTGATAAGCACTAATTGCTTTGCATATGTTAACTCATTTAATCCTATGAGACATAAAACCCTAATGAGACAGCCACTATTATTAGTACTATTTTAGAGTCAAGGTAACTGAGGCATAGAGAGGTTTAATAAGTTACCTCAGGTCAAACAACATGTAAGTAGTACACCTGGGATTTGAACTCAGGCAGTCAGCCTGTCTCCAGGTCACATCTTTACACCAGACTGCCTGTATGAATACAGAAATGGAGGCCAAGGCCTATTGACCTACATTTCTTAGTTCTTAGATTATGTCTGAGCACATAGAATGTCTAGGAAGGTCAGCGAGCCAGCAGTGGAGCCATCTAGGCAGGAGCAGTGTTGAAAATCATGCCACAGACCTGGTCCTTTAAAGCCACCTTAGTTCTCCCTCTGGGTCCAGCACCACATTTGAACCGCTGACATCAGCCAAGCTGAATTCCGGATGCTGCTGCTAGAATGAATTCTGCAAAGTCCCTCCTTTTTTTTTTTTTTTTTTTGCATCCCTAGGTTTTGCCTCCATGTCCAGGCCCCATGGCTGATAATAACCACAGAGAATACATCCTGCAAAGATATTGGAGGCAACACCATGTGCTGAACAATTATATAACCTCCAAAAAATAAAGTAATTTTTAATTTTTATAATGTGTCACCACTGAGAGGAATTTAAAGTCACCAAGAACATTTCAATTAATTAGGCCCAGTCAAGCTGTAGAGATAATGGCCAACAGAAGTGTTTCCTCAAGGATGTATTTTCCATTCAGATCAGCAAAAAGTACCTTGAAAATTCTCACAGGAAGTGAGGCAATATCTACTGTGTCTACATCTTTCTTTGCACTGCAGAACGTTTCGCCTCATATGACGCTAATGGAGAAAAAATAGTTTGTTGTTTGAGTGAAAAGACTAAATAATGATAAATTGGCTGCCTGAAGTGCAGTAAAGAAGAAACAAATGGATGTGTGGCATTAGCAGAGTTAATTATAGATGCAGATTAAAAGGCAAGATTAAGTAGTGGAAGAAAAGCAGAGAGTCACCTTCGGCCCAGACCCGCCAAGCAGCGGCGGTCAGTCACCTAGCAACAAGTTTCCTATCCCTGCTGTGCTCTTTAATTCAGCAAATCTGCTCAGGATGGCGGGCTGTTCTCCTGACAAAACGCATTATGTAGGAGACCGAGGGATACAAAAATCCACTGTACACAGCACTCTGCTCCCTATTGACCACTGATCCTTTCTCTCAATCCACAAAAGAGGCTCACATAATGCCCTGAAAGGAGAAGAGTCTCCACAGAGAAAACATTTGCTTGTAATTGAGATTGACTACATAATGAAAATGATGTTCTTTTTAAAATTCTGCTTGTTGAGGCCACACTTTTTGTCTCCTGGCACTCAAAACACATCCCTGCTGGGAAAAGGGGCAAACATTGTAAAAACTCAAAACTGTGATTTTTTTTTCCTTTGCATTGAAAACACCCATTCTGTAACAAAATGGCCAGGTCTGTCTCCCTAGAACTTAAATAAGTGATAAAAAGGTAAACAGGAAAACTTCTATTCAGAGTTGCAGTCACAAATGCCTGCTTTGCTGAAGGCACACAGGCGATGCATGCTCATTGATTTGCACAACAGCTGGACAAAAATGACAGACAGGATTTTGATTTCTTGATTATGCCCTCTGTGACGAGGCCATAAATTGCTGGTCAAAATTCAGTCACCATTTCAAAGATATGCATTTAAATACCCATTAAAATTTTAACCTGGCAGAGAGGAAGGGGTAACGACAAGAGAGGGCAGAATAGCTCATCTTCTTAATCTAGAGGACACAATTAAAGTGACCTGCATGGGGCTTAAGTTGATTCCCTATAAAAAGATTATGCTGGCGTCTTTGTTAAGAAGCATCCAACATGGTCACACTTGTTTTAAAACCAGATCATTGGATTTATTAATTTTTAAATAATACTTAAAATATTTTTAAATAGATTAGTAAGCATTACTATATGTGTGAGTTTCTACACTTCAAGGATTTTATAATACAAAATGATTTTCACAAAAAATAAATGGTTTCCCACATATTAACAACATACTCTCACTGAAACATGCATTCAACAAATATTCACAGGACACCCATATGTGCCAGACACTGTTCTAGAAGTTGGAGATCCAGAGATAAAAAAAATATACAGCCCTGGCCTTCAAGAGAACAGAGGATTATCATACAGTTGTAGCACATATAAAGGGTACTGGGATAGAGTTTGGCACAGGGTCCTAAGGGAACACTTAGCATGATATATGGCCCAGAATGTAGGGGAAGGGTTATTAAGCTTGCAGGTAAAACTTTCTGGAGGAGATGACACCAAAGCTAATCCCTAAAGGATGTGTAGTTAATAACTGCCTAGATGAAAGGGAAATTCTTGGCAGAGAGAACATCATACAAGATTCTAAAAAGAGAAAGATCATGGTACTTTAGTGACTGAGAGTAGGGCAATATGGTGGGGGGTTGGAGGTCGGAGAGGTATTTGAGCACCAGACTGTACATAGCCTCACGTGCTAGGATAAGGACTTTCCTTGAAGAGCATGGGGAAGATATGATAGATACTACTCAGGGATGATTAGAATTGCAGTGGCATTAACAGGTGTTTGTGATTTTTATTTCCTCTTGCTGGGGAAAGCTCCCAGGTAATGAAGGAATACAAATCCCCTACTGTCAATTACAATTTTAGTTAGATGTAGAGTTCAGATTTTGCTAACAAACCTGATGGGAAAACGGCATTGTTGGTTTTACTGAGGAGTTGGAGGAGAAAAATACTTCAATTTCCAGGGTAGAGTCAATCCTTGATATCACTGAGGTTTTACCAGATTGGCACAGAGGATGAAACAAAGCAGAAAAGCAGTTAAGGCATTTGTCCATTATTATTATGCTTATTAATGAAATTGTGCCAGTGACTAAATCTGAATAACAGGGCAAAATGAGTTAATTTCTGGCTTGAAAAGTCTTAAAAATGAAAGTTGCTACGCCCCTGTGATTAAAACAACCAACACTGTTATTTGATTGGTTATATGCATTGTGCATCTGGAAAAATGTAAGAGTGTATGGGACACAAAACAGATCCCAAAAGACTCATTTATTACTTACACAGAGACATGATTAAAGACATGTCAATACCTAATATAGCAATTATCTAGTAGGTGTCATAGGAAGGCAGGCATATGTACTGTTTGCAATCATAAGCACCTACCTGCCCTTTTTACCTCCATCTCTTCCCACACCTGCTGGGCAGTTTTGTCTAGACAAGGCACAAGAGGGAGAGCCTGGTATATCAGAACCAAAGATAAGCCAGTTCTAAGTGATGATTTTATATCTCTGCTAGATGACATATCCCTATATTTGCCACATTGCTGATGGCACCCAATATAAGGCTCAGCACAAGGCATTCCAGGCACAGGACCTCTTGCTTGGATGGTCTAATGTTTTAAAAGGCATGTCAGAACTCAAGAGGTAAAAAGATCGTGGAAAGGTAACAAAATTGAAATATTGTGTGCTATAAGGACAGGAGCTGCTTTAATAGCCTACTAAGAGCCCTTCCATAAGCAAAGGAGCTCACCCTGTTTCCTTTGCCTGAGGAACGTTTGAAAATATATTCTGTGGTATAATTGGCCTAGAATTTTTCAGTAGGACCTTCCACCATTATATTTCAGCAGAGACACCCCTGGGATCAAAAAATTTTTTTATCAAAATAGAATTCATGTTTTAGGTTTTGCTCCTGTTCCCTTCTAGGGCCCAGTGGTACATGATTTTGTTGTTTTAGTAGAATTAAGTGGTTTTGAATATTTACTTACTTATTAAAATCAGAACTAGTTTCTTGAACAGGAAGAGGGTCCATTTTTATCCTTTGCTATAGTAAGTGGTTGCTAAACTGATGCTGATGGGCTCAACAAACTTCAGCATTCCCCTTGCTCCCTTTTCCCAAAGCATATCTTTGCAAAAGTGTCATAGTGGGTATTTCACGGGCTACTCCACAGTAGCTTTCTTCTTTATTAGGCAGAATCCACTGGGAAAACAGGGTCACAACCATGCTGACCTAGGGGAAGATCAGCTCCCTGGAAAAGGTAAGTTTAAACTTCCAAATAAAAATGGGCCATTTCAAGTGTGCATGATGAGCCACGTGGAATTTATGAAAGAGAATTATGTAAAGGGCTGTGGAAACGTAAGAGGTAGGGAGTCTCACTCCAGTAGTTTCTTTCAGAGAGCACACTTAATAATTTTGCAAATATTATCTTCTCACATTTATGTCTAATCAGTTAAACAACATTATCCACCCTCTTAGCTTTCTCAAAGAAGATTATGTGACATGTAGCATTCACCAGTTTTTCTGAAAAGGTTAATAGTTCACCAGCCGAACTTAGAACTAAACGGACTTGATCATTCCTAAAACCCTTGGTTGAAATGTGAGGGCTTTGTGTTGACAGCCTATGGGTTGTAATGAGTTTCTACTACATTCTTAAGGCTTGTTTCTTTTGCCCTGTGAATGGAGAGAGTAAAATTATAGTCTCTAGGTGTTTTCCACGGTTCTTTCACATGCAGGCTTCCCGACACCAATTAAAGAGATTATGTCATCAAGTGAAAGGAAAGCTATAACTTGTATGTTAATGCTGTGATTACTTGAGACAGGGTCACAGGACCCAATAGCATAGCAGCTGACCTTCAAAAAATTAACTTTGAGCTCAATTCCTAATTAACCTTTTTCAATACAAGAAAGTAGAATTTCAGGCCATTGGTCCTAAAAAATATCCACCTTTTCTTATACAATGAAATGTGTTACCAAAATCAACTTGTAATTGTCAAAAGATGTTTACCCTTGATAATGTTATTGTTAAGGATATATTTTTATTTCCACTCAAAATATATTCTCTGTATCTTCACAGTTAATAAAACTGCAGGGAACACACTTAAACCTACAAAAATTTTAGTGTTATAATAAATTAATGTTGGTGCACAAAAATGACAAGTATTGTTCTTTCCCACTGCATCCCCAAGAATGGGGTTATTAATCAAGCGGACATAAATAAAAATATGTAAATTTTAAAAGACTATGTTGAAATGAAAAAATTTTATCACTTTAAGTTAGTGTTCTCTGTAATTCTTAAAACTGTGTTCCTACTATATGATGTATATTTTATTCCAGAAATTGCTCTCTGATAAAAGTGTTCCAATTATATTAGCTGTTATTTAGTCAGGCCTGAAGTTAATAGCTGATGGACTTCACATTTCTTATAATCTCTAGTACTTCTGGCTGAACAAAAGAGTAAGTAATTTTTAAGGTAATGCTGTATGGTTGAAGAGTTTGGTCCTCGTAGTCATGCTTTGCCTCTGGAGATTATAAGGATTATCTGAATAAGTGATTTTTACACCATTTTGTAATTTCACTCTTATGACTTCTATATTAAAGCAGAACTTATCAAATTTAAAATCAAAATTAGTATTTTGTATACCATATAGTCATATTCTTTTCTGGGGGGTGGGGCCTCAATATGTTGCCCAAGCTAGTCTCAACTCCTGGCCTCAAGAGATTCTCCTGCTTCATCCTCCCAAAGTGCTGGGATTGCAGGCATGAGCCACCACCACATCAGGCCTATGCCACATATTTAGAAAATACTTTAAATGCAACTTGGATGTAGGTTCCACTAGCTCACTCATTTCTTCACTGCTTTTAATCCAGGCTGTAGATAACACAAGCCAAAATGTTGCTTTATTAATAATTATTCTGAAACTATAGTAACATATATACTTTTCCATTTTAAATTTTCCCTAGTTTTGCTATACCAGCACTTTTAATTTTGTTAGTATTGAGCACTGATGCACAAAATGCTATAATATTTAAAGGAAATGATTCATAATTATTGCCCTTCTGGCTAAATCAGCCCAATAGTCAGATTTGAAGTGGTACTGTGGTAGAAACAGACCAATGGATTTTTTTAAAGGGCCTCCCAAAATGCCCTGAAGTACACTGGCAAATATGAATTTTTCACATATTCATTGCTTCACAAACAATGTATAGAGGAATATACTGCTGTTTTGTTTTATTGGTTGTGTTTCTCTTGGGGCATTCATACCTATCAGGATTGAAAAGAAGAGCAAGAACCGGTAATAAGACACAATTAATGTCTTGCATAGGTTTCACTCAAATCAGAAAAATGACACCAAGGACATGGTAAGGAGCACAATAGAGAACAGTTAGGGCACAGCTGGAAAAGTTGCCTTGATATCTAAGTATACAATTGGCATTGATCCTTACGCTTTTAGGATGAAACAGGAAAAAAAAGTCTTCCAGCTCTCAACCCAATCTGTAAAATAAACATGTAATGTTGGAAAAAGCAAACAAAAGTGCACATTTTTAAAGCAAATTTTATGTGGGTATGACATTGTTCTTAAAAAAATAAGGAAATAAATAATCCTGGAGGGGATGGTTCAGGGTCTATGAAAAATATGTGTGTGTACTTGTTGATGGGGAAATTGGCACAGAAGGGAGTTTAACCTGGTTATGAAATGGAATTTGCAATTTCAAGGAAAGGCAAAATGACTTCTACAATTACCGTCAACACACTTGTTCTATTACTGGTGGATTCTTATACCGTTTAGTTCCTTTGAATTCATTTAAAAAGGAATAGTGTTATTACATGATTTGAGATATTCTAAATAAGCTCCATTCTTCAACTGCTGACTGCAGTGAATTAGAGAGCAAGTAGACAGCTAACTTGCACTATTAACATTTACCTTTATTTGGTCAGTTGAAATATATATCAGCTTGAAAAGATATTATGTCATTCTAGAAGCATCAGTTAATACATTTTTAATTAAATCTTAGCAGCTAATTGTGTAAAAATATTTGTAACCTGTAATTCTCTAAGTCCTTTTGAAACCTTTTTTTCTGAAAAAAAGACAAAGCATATATAATTAGATATTTATATGTATAATCTCAATGTGCTTTTTTAAGATCAATTGATTTATGGATGCCTATGAACATATGGCAAATCTCATATCAAAAAATTAAATTCAGATTAAACATTTTCAAGTTCTTAAGTTATGTGATAGTAGGTGGTATAGTTTCTACAACTTAGAACCTAATTCCTTTAATTTACTTAAAACATATTTGAAGCAGCAAAATTCCACGATAATATGGGAAATTAGATAATCCAATGAAATTCATTGTAATGAGATTTGATCCTTGTACAAATGTATGTAAATATATATACATGTAAAGGCAAATGCATGTATGTATGGAAATGAATGTATACGTATGGATACACTATATGAAGATTGTATTTTAAGTAAAAATCTCTGCAAATGTTTGGATGGAAACCCCTTTTAATCATTATTGGTCCTTGCTAAGAATGCATGAAAGCAGCTGAAGAAGGCATTAAACAAAGCATTTGGGAGCCTCAAGGTTTACAGATCCTTTAAATTACGACACCATGAAGTAAGATGCTATGAAGGAGAGGAAGGTTTTGATGAAGAGAGTCTTCTCTAATTCGCCTCCCTTTAGAGCCGCCCAGGATACAGCCAAGGAGTGCAATGTAATTTGAGCAGTTCCTCTGGGTTATCTCCCCAGAGCACCAGGCTAGGAGGAGTTGGAAAACTGGTGCTTAGTAACGAACCCTTAATAAAGACATTCCTGGACCTAGACAGAGCTGTACTGTTCGTGGATTCATGCCACATGCAGCTATTAAAAATATTTCCTTAATGAGAAAAGGAACTAAAATGAGTAGCAAGCCAGCATTTCTCTCTCACTAAGTAGCACAGTAAGAGGAAAACAGAACTAAAAACAAAAAACTACTTTACAACTGTGTTAGATTGCTCAGGGGGGAAAAAAAGCAAGCCATGTGTTAGAATCAGCTTTTAGTTTGACAGTGGTCTTAGGTCTCTATATTACATATTATAATTGCCGATATTTTAATGAAACCTTAAATGCTAAGCTTATTTGAACTGATAATGAAGTTTTCAGCTGTTAGTTTCAAATGATTTAAAACTACTGAAATAGATTTGGGACTAGGATTTACTCTGCCACCTGCTGGCCATTTAAAATTAATGCTGCTCTCAGGAGCTGGCCACTTTGAACAGTGAGCCTCAACACTGGTTTGTGAAAAGGCAGTGCTATACTGGAGAAGAATTCACCTGGCCTGGGTGGTGGTGTCAATAGCACTGGATCTGATGTCAAGAAACCTGGGGCGAGGGATGGAGGTGGTCTTGCAGGAGCCCAGTTTTACCACTTCCTGTATAGGCGGCCAGTTGCTTAAGTCCTCAAAGGTTCCCTCCATAACCGGAGATGCTCTCCTTCCCTCTCCGTGACTGCCTCGATCCAACACCTTAGCCACCTCGTTTCCAGGACAGGTGTTATGAGACCTGCCTTACCTCAAATGAGAAAATACTTATAAAACCATCAGGCATTATAAAAAATATACATTGGTCAGAATTATGGACGAAATTAACAGTATGTGGTAATCCATTCTCTTCCTGCAATGTATATTTCATGTGGGCATTGTCACAAAGCTTTTACTCAAATCCAGAGTCTAGCTGGACCAGTCACCTTAGATTATCTTTGAAAAAATGGAAAAGTGTAGGTGCATGCATATTTACTTAAATACTGAACTAGTTTCCTAACTCTGGCAGGTCCTCTGGCCTGTATCATCCTTGTCTTCCAAAATCACATGTTCCAATTAAAATGCATAAAGCTTCTTAAATTTGTGTTTGAGGCCAGGCACAGTGGCTCACGCCTGTAATCCCAGCACTTTGGGAAGCCATGGCAGGTGAATGGCTTGACCTCAGGAGTCCGAGAGCAGCCTGGGCAACATGATGAAACCCCGTCTCTACAAATAAAATAAAAAAAAAAAAGCCGGATGTGGTGGCGCGTGTCCGTAATCCCAGCTACTTGGGGGGCTGAGGTGGGAGGATCGTTTGAGCCCAGGAGGCGGAGGTCGCAGTGAGCCGAGATTGAGCCACTGTACTCCAACCTGGGTGACAGAGTGAGACCCTGTCTCAAAAAAATAAAAGCGTTTGAATAGAGAGGGAAAGTGCCAGTAATCATAAAAACAAAACTATCTTCACGATCTTTCCGAGTTATGCCAAATAGTATTCAACAGTTGCTTTAATGAAACTCAGGAAAACAAAACTGAGATACACAAAACATCATGGCCAAAATTGAATCAAATTGCCACATTGAACTTCCTTTATTTTTAAAAACAATTTCTTGATTTCCTAGCTATGGCCTATTTCATTTTTAAAAGTCCCAATAAAATTTCCACAATTTACCCTTGGGAGGGACTCTGTTGTTGAGATTTAGTATAAATTTGCAGGTATTCACAAAAGGCAGGTCAGGCAAAATTACAGTCTCCCCAGTTGCTTTATTTCCTCACATAAATATCCCTTAAATAGCTTTTTTCATGCTCATGAACAGCGCTGCAATCACTTTCACAAAACAAACATAGAATTCTGAACTTAAGCAAGCCACTGAGTTTGCTTGAGGGAAACAATGTCTTCCTTGTCACTTGGTTTTGTCTTTTTTTTTTTAAAGAAGAGGAAAGGTTTTTTCCCCTCTCCTGTTTTTAGACCACCCATGAACCTTTTTATTTTTCTCATTTAATCTGAGAAAGGGGAGAAAAGGAGACTTGTTGCCCTTAGCAGTGCTTGGGCTTTTCTTCCGATAGCGTCAGTTAATTATTTTAACCTACTGACAAGGGTGGCCAGGGCAGCAGGCGTGGGAGGGAGGGGAAACAGGTGTTTCAAACACCTGCATTTCTAGGCTTAATTGCTCTGAAATCTTCTGGGCTCTCAACTGCGTTCTCCTTTCTTCACAGAGGCTCAGAGAGAGGGGTTCATTTGTGGAGTCCTTAACTAATTGTGGCATAAATATGCAACCACTTTTGGCTGAACAAATTATTGTCTTTAAAATGAACTCCAGGTAAATTTAATTAGAGAAAAAAAGGTGATTGACAGGTATTACTCTGAATGCAATGATTAAAAGTCCTACTGTTGTTAAAAGAAAAAGGCTGAGTCAGGAGTCAGCCATATTCTAGATGTTTTCTTCTTGTGCCGGTGAGTTCAGGTAAGAACACCCAGATCAATGATTCTGGAATTCCTCATACTATGGGAGATGTCTACCACAATTAAGTACCAAAAACTGTTTTTTTAGTAGAATGCATGGAAAAATCTGCTTTTAAGAAATGTTGAGATAATTTGTGTACCAAAATGGGTATTTAATGTGGTATTTTATATTTAAATGTTTTCATAAACATAGCTTATAATAATTGAGTGCTTACCACATGCCAGACACTTTTTTATATGTACTGTCTCATTTAATCCTCACAGTAACACTGTGGGATAATTCTCATTATTAGCCTCATTTTACAGGTGTGGGAGCTGAGGCAAAAAGAGGTTAATTAACTTATTCAAGGCAGACAGTAAGTGGTTGAGTCAGGATTCAGACTCAGGCAGCAGAGTCTATGACCTCTGTTTGTCATTCAGTCAACAGAAGTCAGTAGCTCATAAGTCTCCCAATACTGAACTATTCTCTAGGAGGTTTGCTTCTTGATTCCTGAGGGTGGCTGAGATAAGAGAGTGATTAGAACTTCGGTACTGAGCAAAAATCTCTAAGAGATCCGTTGTCAAGCCCAGAGTTGTGAAAATAGCCCTGGGTCACACACTGTGTTATTTAATAAATGGTGTGGGAAGATTCTAGAAGCATGGGTGTCAGGTCAGGAAATCTTGATTGCAGTTCTTACTAGAAAAACTGATTATTCTGTAACTAGTCCTCCTGCTCAATGAATAAATAATCTGTGGTTCAGAGAAATTAATGGAGATTTGGTCAAGCTTTCACAATAGGGTCAGAGTCAGGTGCAGTATTATAACCCAGAAACAGTGCTTCAAGGACACTGACTTTTTATTCCCAGTGACCAATTTTTCTTCCTTAGGGGAGGATAATTATAACAATGAGTTAGACCAACAATTAATTGACCTTGCCATATGACTTACTTCTTGTATATTGGTGAAAAGGGCAACTGAAATGGAAATATAATCTCTTGCTGACATTAATGTTTCTCATTGGGCAGCAGCTAACACATGCTCACTTGGCACAGGAAATCAAGATCAACACTGGCTGACTCTGTCAAGTAAATATTCTAGCCTCAGACAAGGGAGCTTTAGTTCTTGCTTCCGTTTTCCTTTCTGCCTATCCATTTTCACCTATGCATTTTCAGGGCCTGGAGGTGTGGAAAGAGGGAAATGGGGTTGCCCACTGGGAATGCCTGGAACTTCCCTCTGCTTCCTGACAGCTGCCAGACACGGCCTTCTATTAGGCCTGGCTCAACAACCATTTCCCTTCTTGCAGCCTGTTCCCAGACTCCTTTAGAACCACACTGTCACATGAGAATGAATATCAATGACACATATTAGATTATGAAAGGGAAGAGGTGCACACTTGCAGCATGAATCGTGTGTCCAGACTTCCACTGAGACACACCAGGTCTTAATGTAGGAGGTTATAATACAGATTAAACGGGAAATTTCAGAGAAAGCCCTATGTTGCAAAGAAAGAAAACTTACGTGATTGGTTGTATCTCATCTGAAAGCCAGATGTCTGGTGTGCCAGACAAAATTTGAGAATGGAAAGAACTCACTCTAAGAGCACCTAGTTTAGTCTTGGGAGGTCCACCCAGGAGTTTTAATTTCTTTGACCTGTTACAGTACAGAGTTGTCACCTAATTGCCTTTTCCCACACTTGTATTACCGTACTGAGTATTGGAAATCAGTGTTCCTCAAATGTTAGATGTGCCTGCAAGCCACCTGGAGATCTTATTAAAATAAGGATTCTGACTTAGGAGGTTTCGGGTGGGCCTGAGAATCTGCATTTCTAACAAATTCTTAGCTGATTTTGGTGCTGCTGGTCTGTAGACCATACTTTGAGTAGCAAGGTGATAGAGTAACCTCAGTGGGTTTAGGAAGGCAATTCTGTCCTATTTTTTTGTATGAATAAATTTACAGTCTTAAGAAAGGTATTTTTAAAAATTATAATTACACTTTTATATACTAATGAGTTCTACTATCATTGTGTGCTCTTTGTTATGCTTGACCTGTGGTTTTCAGATAAAATAGTTAAGAGAATTTGAACTGCAGAATTGATGTCTAACTTACTAGATTTACATACTTAGGAAGCTTTTGTTGATTTTGATGTATAAATCTGTATTTTGGGTGTTTGAAGTATTTGAGATAATTAGATATACTCAACTTACAGTTGTGGTTTGAAAGGTCTAAGGGACTGTGAGTATGCAAATGGTATAAAAATTTAGGGGAATTTGATCTTTTAAATATGAGTTAACTGAACATTGAAGAATAAAACAAAGAAAGAAACACACTTAAATAACTTATAGGCCAAGTAAGAAATTATAATTAAAATGAGAAAATATTGAAAATGGAATGACAACAAAATACTACATTTCAAAACTTGTGATATAAAGCTAAATTGATAATTATGGGAAAATTTATAGTTTCTAACACTTATTCAGAAAAGAAGAAAGACTGAACATTAGAAGTCAGAAAAAGCAACAGAATAAATTGAGAAAGTAGGGAAAAATATTAAAGAGCATAAATTAGTGCAATCAAAAACAGATGGAAAAATATAGAGAATCAACGAAGCTGAAACTGACTATTTGAAAATACTGGTAAGTTGCAAACTTCCACAAAGATTGATAAAGTGAAAAAATGGAGAACACATGTAAGCAATATCAGGAATAAGAAGGAAACATAGCTGCAGATGCTGCAGAGATTTTTAAAAAAATATGAGGACATTATGAACAACTGTTTGCAAATACATTGGAAAACTTAGGAGAAATGGATCGGTTCTAAGGAAAAATATAAGCCATAAAACTGACTTAAGAAAAAATAAAAACATGAATGGTTCTATACCCATTAAGGAAATTGAATTAGTAGTTTAAAAATTCCACAGAGATTAAACACCAGACTTCCTCACTTTTAACAGTTTACCAAACATGAAAGGAGTGTAGAAAAAAAAGAAAATACTCTCATACCTACATCTAAATGAAATTTCAGGTGGATTAGAGACTTAAATGTGAACGGCAAAACTATAAAGCTTTAAGAAGATAAATATCTTCATAACGTGGTGATGGGAAACTGTTTCTTAAAGAAGAGACTAAAAGCATAAACTATGGAGGGAAAAGACCCACAATAAAAAGAACTTCTTATCTCAAAATACCATAAAGAAATGAAAATGTGAGATAACATTTCACATCCCCCAAGTAGGCAAAAATTTTAAAGTATGACCAAACCAAGCATTGGCAAGAATATGGAAAAACAGAAACTCATGCACTGCTGGTGGGGTGTAAATTGTCACAACCACTTGGGAAAATGATTTGCCCTTATCAAAAAAGTTGAAGACATGCATGTCACACGACCTAGCCATTAGATATATATATATACACAAGGGGAAATGGTATATATGCACTAGGAAACACATAAAAGAATATTCACAGCAGCAACATTCATAATAGTAAAAAAACTAGGAAAAAAGCCCAAATGTTCAACCATATTAGTATAGATAAATTGCGATATAGTCACACAATGGAATATTATATAGTATTAAAAATGAATGAACTAAAATTACACACCACATAGATGAATGTCAGGAACACAATGTCACAGAAGAATATCTAAATCATCAGCAAGCATTAGGCCCACAGTTCTTTGCCTGGCACTCGAATCGTTCCATAATCCATAAAGCCTATTTAATCTGCCCAATCTCATATCCTTCCCCAAAGCACATTAAGTCATTGTGTCTACTAGGCACTGCTTTTTTCACGGTTCCTCTGGTATGCCATGATCTTTCCTCCTCCCTTGACTTCCTTTAGGTGATCTCCACATGTGGAGTAGACCCTCCTTTCCTTCTCACTCACCAAATCCACCCAGGTAATCAAAGCCTAACCGAGTTCCACGTCCACATAAGCCTTCTGTAACTGCCCATGGTCTCTGAACTTCTGAGTTTACTGTCAAGACCATGAAGTTTTGTGACTAATTGTTTTCTAGGTAAATTTAATTTAACAAGTATGTACTGAACTCCCATTATGTGAAAGGGCTAGTGTGAGGTGCTGCAAGAGGGCATTGAAATTAAACAGAAAATAGTCTCCACTCTCCGGTTCTAAAGTGTGATCTGTAAAAACCGGTTGGGGAATGAAGCAAAGCTGTATGGCTAAGATAGCTCTTGAGAAAGGTCTAAAGCAGCACAGTGGTTTGGGCATGGAATCCACAGATCTGGGTTTCAGTCCTGACTCCAACCCACACACCAGCAGCGTGACCTGGTGCAAATTTACTTTTCTCTGCTTTAGATTCCCATCTGTAAAATACATCGTGGTATTTCCCACTTCCTAGGTTGTGGTGGGGATTACACAAGATGATGCACTATGATGTGCTAAGGACAACACCTGACACAGAGTAAGCAGAGAAAAATCGTGGCTCTTAACAAGGAAGGTGGCTCGGATCTTCACAGATGGAGATGGGGGCAAGGTATTCAAGATTTAGAGAGGAGGCAGAGCTTGTAGCAGGGGAAGTTGCCTCCTGTTCACAGTCCACTTTGCTGTGGTACAGAGCTGAGACAAAAGGAGTCCAGGTAAGGGGGGTGGTTCAAGATATGTCGCACAGAAAGAGACTGGGTCTGAGAAGTGTATGCTTAATTCTGTGGGTAAGTGTATGGGGCAGGTTGACAAATAGAACCATGCTTGCCCCTAAGAAGGCCCTGAGAAGTGAGAAGAGCCGGGGAAACTGATTGAAATCATGTAAAATTTTACGGTTTGGGCTGTGGTACAAAAATAATAATGCCATTAATGGTCAAAACTTGTAAAAATATTAAGTTTACATTTTGCTTCTATGAAAGCATAAAAAAGAATAAAAATGGACACAGGCCTATTGGAAATCTGTAGCTTAAATATTCACTTAACTAAAACAACAAACTTTTTTTTATTATACTTCAAGTTTTAGGGTACATGTGCATAATGTGCAGGTTTGTTACATATGTATACATGTGCCATGTTGGTGTGCTGCACCCATCAACTCGTCATTTAACATTAGGTATATCTCCTAATGCTATCCCTCCCTGCTCCCCCCATCCCACAACAGGCCCCGGTGTGTGATGTTCCCCTTCCTGTGTCCATGTGTTCTCATTGTTCAGTTCCCACCTATGAGTGAGAACATGCGGTGTTTGGTTTTTTGTCCTTACGATAGTTTGCTGAGAATGATGGTTTCCAGCTTCATCCATGTCCCTACAAAGGACATGAACTCATTTTTTATGGCTGCATAGTATTCCATGGTGTATGTGTGCCACATTTTCTTAATCCAGTCTATCATTGTTGGACATTTGGCTTGGTTCCAAGTCTTTGCTATTGTGAATAGTGCCGCAATAAACATACGTGTGCATGTGTCTTTATAGCAGCATGATTTATAATCCTTTGGGTATATACCCAGTAATAGGATTGCTGGGTCAAATGGCATTTCTAGTCAAGAACCCTGAGGAATCGCCACACTGACTTCCACAATGGTTGAACTAGTTTACAGTCCCACCAACAGTGTAAAAGTGTTCCTAAATCTCCACATCCTCTCCAGCACCTGTTGTTTCCTGACTTTTTAATGATCGCCATTCTAACTGGTGTGAGATGGTATCTCATTGTGGTTTTGATTTGCATTTCTCTGATGGCCAGTGATGATGAGCATTTTTTCATGTGTCTGTTGGCTGCATAAATGTCTTCTTTTGAGAACTGTCTGTTCATATCCTTCACCCACTTTTTGATGGGGCTGTTTTTTTCTTGTACATTTGTTTGAGTTCATTGTAGATTCTGGATATTAGCCCTTTGTCAGATGAGTAGATTGCAAAAATTTTCTTCCATTCTGTAGGTTGCCTGTTTACACTGCTGGTAGTTTCTTTTGCTGTGCAAAAGCTCTTTAGTTTCATTAGATCCCAATTGTCAATTTTTGCTTTTGTTGCCATTGCTTTTGGTGTTTTAGACATGAAGTCCTTGCCCATGCCTATGTCCTGAATGGTATTGCCTAGGTTTTCTTCTAGGGTTTTTATGGTTTTAGGTCCAACATTTAAGTCTCTGATCCATCTTGAATTAATTTTTGTATAAGGTGTAAGGAAGGGATCCAGTTTCAGCTTTCTACCTATGGCTAGCCAGTTTTCCCAGCATCATTTATTAAATAGGGAATCCTTTCCCCATTGCTTGTTTTTGTCAGGTTTGTCAAAGATCAGATGGTTGTAGATATGCGGCATTATTTCTGAGGGCTCTGTTCTGTTCCATTGGTCTATATCTCTGTTTTGGTACCAGTACCATGCTGTTTTGGTTACTGTAGCCTTGTAGTATAGTTTGAAGTCAGGTAGTGTGATGCCTCCAGCTTTGTTCTTTTGGCTTAGGATTGACTTGGCAATGTGGGCTCTTTTTTGGTTCCATATGAACTTTAAAGTAGTTTTTTCCAATCCTGTGAAGAAAGTCATTGGTAGCTTGATGGGGATAGCATTGACTCTGTGAATTACTTTGGGCAGTATGGCCATTTTCATGATATTGATTCTTCCTATCCATGAGCATGGAATGTTCTTCCATTTGTTTGTGTCCTCCTTTATTTCATTGAGCAGTGGTTTGTAGTTCTCCTTGAAGAGGTCCTTCACATCCTTTGTAAGTTGGATCCCTAGGTGTTTTATTTTCTTTGTAGTAATTGTGAATGGGAGTTCACTCATGATTTGGCTCTCTGTTTGTCTATTATTGGTGTATAGGATGCTTGTGATTTTTGCCATTGATTTTGTATCCTGAGACTTTACTGAAGTCGCCTATCAGCTTCAGGAGATTTTGGGCTGAGACGATGGGGTTTTCTAGATATACAATCATGTCATCTGCAAACAGGGACAATTTGACTTCCTCTTTTCCTAATTGAATACCCTTTATTTCTTTCTCCTGCCTGATTGCCCTGGCCAGAAATTCCAACACTATGTTGAATAGGAGTGGTGAGAGAGGGCATCCCTGTCTTGTGCCAGTTTTCAAAGGGAATGCTTCCAGTTTTTGCCCATTCAGTATGATATTGGCTGTGGGTTTGTCATAAATAGCTCTTGTTATTTTGAGATATGTCCCATCAATACCTAACATATTAAGAGTTTTTAGCATGAAGGGTTGTTGAATTTTATCAAAGGCCTTTTCTGCATCTATTGAGATAATCATATGGTTTTTGTCGTTGGTTCTGTTTATATGCTGGATTATGTTTATTGATTTGCGTATGTTGAACCAGCCTTGCATCCCAGGGATGAAGCCCACTTGATCATGGTGGATAAGTTTCTTAATGTGCTGCTGGATTCAGTTTGCCAGTATTTTATTGAGGATTTTTGCATGGATGTTCATCAGAGATATTGTTCTAAAATTCTCTTTTTTTGTTGTGTCTCTGCCAGGCTTTGGTATCAGGATGATGCTGGCCTCATAAAATGAGTTAGGGAGGATTCCCTCTTTTTCTATTGATTGGAATAGTTTCAGAAGGAATGGTACCAGCTCCTCCTCATACCTCTGGTAGAATTCGGCTGTGAATCCATCTGGTCCTGGACTTTTTTTGGTTGGTAAGCTATTAATTATTGCCTCAATTTCAGAGCTTGTTATTGGTCTATTCAGAGATTCCACTTCTTTCTGGTTTAGTCTTGGGAGGGTGTATGTGTTGAGGAATTTATCCATTTCTTCTAGATTTTCTAGTTTATTTGCGTAGAGGTGTTTATAGTATTCTCTGATGGTAGTTTGTATTTCTGTGGGATTGGTGGTGATATCCCCTTTATCATTTTTTATTGCATCTATTTGATTATTCTCTCTTTTCTTCTTTATTATCTTGCTGGCGGTCTATCAATTTTGTTGATCTTTTCAAAAAACCAGCTCCTGGATTCATTGATTTTTTTGAACGGTTTTTTTGTGTCTCTATTTCCTTCAGTTCTGCTCTGATCTTAGTTATTTCTTGCCTTCTACTAGCTTTTGAATGTGTTTGCTCTTGCTTCTCTAGTTCTTTTAATTGTGATGTTAGGATGTCAGTTTTAGATCTTTCCTGCTTTCTCTTTTGGGCATTTAGTGCTATAAATTTCCCTCTACACACTGCTTTGAATGTGTCCCAGAGATTCTGGCATGTAAAACAACAAACCTTTATTGAGACTGCACCATGAGCTGCCACTGTTCCGAGTGCTTTATCTATAAGTATTACTCTCATTTAAGCATAACAATCCATAACAATTCCATTAGTAGTCACAATTTCCAATAAAGTTGGCAACAACCATTTTTACTGCTAAAACCATTCAATACCAATATAAGAAGGAATTTCATCACCAAGGAAGCTGTGTGAGTGACTCACTGCTATCAGTGACAAACCTGGGTAGCATTTACTGACTCTCATCTCTATTCCGGGAGGTGGGCAGGGAAAAGGGGGATGTTTAAAAGAAGGACTTGAAATGCCACTTGGAATTGAAAATGGTTTCTTGCTTTCATTTTTAAATTATCATAGCAAATAGTTAATCATGTAACAAATTATAGTTATCATCTAACAAAAACATAGGCAAATTGATTTAAAGGGTAAGCTAAGTGCCTCCTAGTCTTTGCAGTATCTGAAAACCCAAACATGCTTCCAATCCACTTGTGTACCTAAACTAGATGAGAAAATCCCTTAAAGATCTTCTGGGTCTTATCGGTCAAAGACGTGGAAATGGATTTCCTTCCATCACATGTTCTTTACTTTTGGCCTTGAGTCCCTATGTGACTCTGCCAAAAAGTAACAATTCTAGCTAGAATATATTGCCAGGAATTCTGCAATAATGTAAGGTATATAGCTTCATTGACAAAGAAAAAATCCCTTCCTAAAAATAAGTTTCAAAAAGAGTTCTTACTTTTACAATACACTGTGATGCTATAAAAATAAATAAATAATCGCCATGGTTTCCTTTCTTTAAAAGAAATAATTTCTAGGTATTCCAATTTTTGCCGTCAAATGCCACAGCTTATGAGATAGTTCAAAATGCTGTGCAATTACTTGACTTCCAAAAATGCTTCCTTAAAATGGAAATAATGGGAGTTAATATTTCCTATCGAGGCAGGATTCTCAATACCACTGACAGCAGCTTTCATGTGTGTTTGAGAAGTGGGTGCTGGTCAAAACCATAGACAATCTGGGCACAGAAACATGCTGCCCTGTGAGAAAGGCTTTATTACTAATGGTGATAGCCCTGTTTGTCACTCTAACTTAAGAAGCACATATATATTATGAGAATATAGAAGTATTACAGTCTGTGTACATTCACTTAACTAAAACAGCAAACATTTATTGAGACTGCACCATGACCTGCCAGTGTTCTGAGTGCTTTATCTATAAGAATTTCTCTCATTTAAGCATAACAATCCAATGAGGCAGGTAATATTATCATCTGCATTTTACAAATGAGGAAACTAAGGCTTATGCAAAAGAATTGTCTATGGGTGACAGGTGAGTAAGAGGCTCACTCAGGGCATCAAACCCAAGTTTGCTTCTCTGATACCTAGACTCCGAACTATTGTGAGGCCCCACGTCCCTGAAAGCTCAGGTGCAGTCATCTTTGTTACTGCCAAATGCTGGCCTGGAATGCACCTTTACTTGGCATGGTAATAAGATTTCAGCATAAGCAGAGCTCATTCCATCCTGCTCCTCTTTCTAGAGAAGTGGGGTGCAGAAAGGTGAGGTGATGGAGTTGGAACTACATCTCCTTCTTTTCTCTCTGCTGCTGTTTGCCCAATACTATGCTTCTCTGGGCCATTTACAAACTTGCTGAGTTTATTGACAGCTACTCTAACAGCTTTACACTGGCAAATCTATCAGAAGGGGAGCTTTACTATTAGAGGTCTCAGCCCAAAATCTCCTTAAGCCGATAAGCAACTTGAGCAAAGTCTCAGGATACAATCAATGTGTAAAAATCACAAGCATTCTACACACCAATAACAGACAGCCAAATCATGAGTGAACTCCCATTCACAATTGCTACAAAAAATAAAATATCTAGGAATCCAACTTACAAGGGATGTGAAGGACCTCTTCCAAGAGAACTACAAACCACTGCTCAAGGAAATAAGAGAAGGCACAAACAAATGGAAAAACATTCCATGCTCATGGATAGGAAGAATCAATATTGTGAAAATGGCCATACTGCCCAAAGTAATTTATAGATTCAATGCTATCCCCATTAAGCTACCAATGATTTTCTTCACAGAATTGGAAAAAACTACTTTAAATTTCATATGGAACCAAAAAAGAGCCCTCATAGCCAAGACAATCCTGGGCAAGAAGAACAAAGCCGGAGGCATCACACTCTCTGACTTCAAACTACACTACAAGGCTACACAGTAACCAAAACAGCATGGTACTGGTACCAAAACAGATACATAGACCAATGGAACAGAATAGAGGCCTCAGAAATAACACCACACATCTACAACCTTCTGATCTTTGACAAACCTGACACAAACAAGCAATGGGAAAAAGATTCCCTATTTAATAAATGGTGTTGGGAAAACTGGCTAGCCATATGCAGAAGAAAACTGAAACTGGATCCCTTCCATACACCTTATACAAAAATCAACTCAGGATGAATCAAAGACTTAAATGTAAGATCCAGGACCACAAAAATCCTAGAAGAAAACCTGGGCAATACCATTCAGGACATAGGCATGGGCAAAGACGTCATGTCTAAGACACCAAAAGCAATGGCAACAAAAGCCAAAATTGACAATTGGGATCTAATGAAACTAAAGAGCTTCTGCACAGCAAAAGAAACTATCATCAGAGTGAACAGGCAACCTACAGAATGGGAGAATAATTTTGCAATCTACCCGTCTGACAAAGGGCTAATATCTAGAATCTACAAAGAACCTAAACAAATTTACAAGAAAATAACAAACAACCCCATCAAAAACTGGGCAAAGGATGTGAACAGACACTTCTCAAAAGAAGACATTTATGCAGCCAACAGACATATGAAAAAATGCTCATCATCACTGGCCATCAGAGAAATGCAAATCAAAACCACAATGAGATACCATCTCACACCAGTTAGAATGGCGATCATTAAAAAGTCAGGAGACAACAGATGCTGGAGAGGATGTGGAGAAATAGGGACGCTTTTACACTGTTGGTGGGACTGTAAACTAGTTCAACCATTGTGGAAGACAGTGTGGCGATTCCTCAAGGATCTAGAACTAGAAATACCATTTGACCCAGCGATCCCATTACTGGGTATATACCCAAAGGATTATAAATCATTCTACTATAAAGACACATGCACAGTGTGGCACTATTCACAATAGCAAAGACTTGGAACCAACCCAGATGTCCATCAATAATAGCCTGGATTAAGAAAATGTGGCACATATACACCATGGAATACTATGCAGCCATAAAAAGGGATAGGTTCATGTCATTTGCAGGGACATGGATGAAGCTGGAAACCATCATTCTCAGCACACTCTCACAAGAACAGAAAACCAAACACTGCATGTTCTCACTCATAAGTGGGAGTTGAACTATGAGAACACATGGATATAGGGAGGAGAACATTACACACTGGGGCCTGTCAGGGGGTGGGGGGCTAGGGGAGGGATAACATTAGGAGAAATACCTAATGTAGATGACAGGTTGATGGGTGCAGCAAACCACCATGGCACGTGTATACCTATGTAACAAACCTGCACATTCTGCACATGTACCCCAGAACTTAGAGGATAGACAGATAGATAGATAGATAGATAGATAGATAGATAGATAGATAGATAGATATATGTTGCTATATATATATATTTATATATATATAATAGAATGATTTATAATCTCTATATATATATGTTGCAAACTAAGGGCTTCCTAAGTTCAAATCCTCCTAGGTCAAGCATTAGTTATCAAAGGCAGCGTTATCACACCATGACTAAGTAAATCACAGACCTTCTGTTTTGAAGAGTAAGACTGCATTATCAACCAGTCTCTCTTTCACTGATATTGGTTGGAAGAGGAATTGAATTGTTTGCTAAGATGGTCCAAAGCTTCCCAGATTGGCTGTACCACAATTTGGCCATTTTGCTCACATGAACATGACTTAGATTAGAAGAAGATGTCCTGCTCACACAGCTATTTCTTTCCTCTATGACACGGAAGATTTCTGGAAAGTGGAGCTAAGCCACATCCACCATTCATTCAACAAATGGCAGTGAAGTTTCTGTTGGACATTAGGCAAGTGCTGGCTTTTCACAGTTATAGTTTCCACGCTTATGGGATGAAATCTTCCAGGGGAGAGAGACCATCAAACAAGTAAGCGCAACAAAGTATAACAGTGAGAAGGGACAGTTGAGAGGTTTCTGTGAGAACAGACGAGGAGCACCCAGTTCATAACTGGGGGGCAGCAGGGAGACCTGAAGGAACAATAAGAATTACTCAGTAAATGGCCTGAGGAAGGGAGAGGGAAGAGATAAGACAGGCAGAGGAGACAACATGGCAAGGCTCAGAGATGAGACAGTATGGTACATGCATAGAACTGGAAGAGGTAGCCAAGTTGTTTGTATTCACTGATTTACATAAGGGCTGGGGATCCTCCTGTGAAAAAGATTTTATCCTTGTCCAACTTGGGTTTGGAAGTATACAGCTATAATCAAAACCAAATTGCAGGAAATGTGGTGGGAGCGCCCAAGAAAATTGATCACCTCCTCACCAACTGGGGAAAGCTGAGAAATGTGGGTTACATACAGAAGACATCACTAGTATGCTTAAATATGATAAACTCTTGGAGCACAAAGGTGGTGTGTGGTTGAATCCTCTGTACTGTTTACTATATGTCTTCCCCAAAATAAAGTTTAATAAATATTTGACAATTTAATGACTGACTCTATGTCTTTCTATTTGATGTTCCTGGAAGAAAACCTCCAACCATGAAGGCATGAGAATTGTGGTGACCTGGAATGGGTTATGACCTCCAGGTATGCGCTTGGAGAGAAATATGGTGACTCTCCCTGGATACCAATTTTCCTTAAAGATTTTTTTGGACAAAATTTAAACATTTGACCTGCTATATAATTTAAAGCATTTTACATGGAAGGAGACATGACTATATTAAGGAATAGCATATTAAAAAGCACATCTAATCTATAGTGTATAAATGATTTGTGACATAATATAAAACAGAGGAAAGCAAGTGGTTTCAAAGAAATTTCAGGATTGCACAAGGACACCTGGAACCTCCCCTCCCCTTGATCCTTCTGGAGTCTGCATCTTTACTGCCTTCAGCCAGCAGAGGAACTTGAATGGAAAAGTCTGAAAAGCACTCAGAGTGGGGGTGAGGGTAGTCAGGAAATAGAAGCTCTAAACGTTCTACTTAATAACAGTATTAACAACAACCACTTTCTCTTTAATAATAACAATAGCAGCAACAAAAACAACAGCTAATGTTCATCAAATACTAAATGCTAAGTACTTTTAAAAAATAATTGTTTTTATTGATACATATTAGATGTATGTATTTTGAGGGTACATGTGATAATTTGATTCATATAATCAAGTCAGGGTAATTGGGATATCCATCATTTTAAATATTGATCTTTTCTTTATGCTAGAAGCATTTGAATTATTCTCTTCTAGCTATTTTGAAATGTACAATCAATTAATGTTAACTGTGGTCAACCTACTGATCTATCAAACACTAGGTCTTATTTCTTCTATCCAAGTGTATATTTCTACCCATTAATCAACCTCTCTTCAACTCCTCTTCCACTCTCACTGTCCTGGCATCTGGTAACCACCAATCTACTCTTTTTTTTTTTTTCTGAGTTGGAGTCTCTCTCTGTTGCCCATGCTGGAATGCAGTGGCATGATTTTGGTTCACTGTAACCTCTGCCTTCCCGGGTACAAGCAATTCTCCTGCCTCAGCCTCCCAAGTACCTGGGACTACAGGTGCACGCCACCACACCTGGCTAATTTTTGTATTTTTAGTAGAGACGGGGTTTCACCACATTGGCCAGGCTGGTCTCGAACTCCTGACCTCAGGTGATCTGCCTGCCTTGGCCTCCCAAGTGCTGGGATTACAGGCATGAGCCACTGCATGCCTGACCCCAATCTGTTTATCTTCATGAGACCCACTTTTTTAGCTTCACATATGAGTAAGGGCATGCAGTATTTGTGTTTCTGTGCTTGGCTTATTTTGCTTAACATAATGGTCTCCAGTTCCGTCCATGTTGCTGCAAATGACAGGATTGCATTCTTCTTTATGGCTGAGTACTATTCTACTGTGTGCATAAACCACATTTTCTTTATCCATTCATCCACTGATGGATACTTAGGTTGATTTCATATCTTGGCTATTGTGAGTAGTGCTGCAGTAAACATGGTAGTGCAGATATCTCTTTGATATATTTATTTCCTTTATTTTGGATGTAGACCCACTATTGGAATTGCTAAATCATATGGTAGTTCTATTTTTAGTTTTTTCAGGAACCTCCATGCTGTTTTCCATAGTGGCTGTACTAATTTTCATTTGAACTAACAATGTATGAGTATTCCCTTTTAACTACATCCTTGCCAGCATCTATTATTCCCTGATATTTTTTTCGTGATAGCCATTCTGTGTGAGACATCTCATTGTGGTGTTGATTTGCATTTTCCTGATTAGTGAGGTTGAACACTTTTTCATATACCTTTTGGCCATTTATATATCTTCTTTTGAGAAATGTCTATTCAAATCTTTTGCTCATTTTTAAATAGAATTATTGGGGTTTTTTTCCTATTGAGTTGTTTGAGCTCTTTATATATTCTGGTTACTAATTCCTTATCAGATGGATAGTTTGCAAATATTTTCTCCCATTCTGTTGGTTGTCTCTGTGTTGATAGTTTCTTTTGCTGTGCAGAAGTTTTTTAGCCTGATGTAATCCCATTTGTCTATTTTTTTTTCTTTTCTGCCTTTGAAGTCTTATACAAAAAAGTCTTCACCCAGACCGACGTCCTGGAGCATTTCCCCAACGTTTTTTACTAGTCGTTTCATAGTTTCAGGTTTTAGATTTAAGGCTTTGATCCATTTTGCTTTCATTTTTGTATATGGTGAGAGATAGGGATCTGGTTTCATTCTTCTGCATGTGGTTATCCAGTTTTCCCAGCACCATTTATTGAAGAGATTGTTCTTTCCTCATTGTATGTTCTCGGCACCTTTGTCTAAAGGTGGGAGTGCAGATATTTCTTTGATATACTGATCTATCTTTTTTTTTTCTTTCTTTCTCTCTCTCTTTCTTTTTCCGTCTCTCTTTCTTTCTTTCTTTTTCTTTCTTTCTCTCTCTCTCTTTCTTTCTTTCTTTTTCTTTTTTTATTTTTTTAAGACAGAGTCTCACCCTGTCACCCAGGCTGGAGTGCAGTGGCATGATCTCAGCTCACTGCAGCCTCACCTCCTGGGCTCAAGCGAGTCTCTCACCTCAGCCTCCCGAGTAGCTGGAACTACAGATGGACGCCACTACACCTGACTAATTTTTGTATTTTTTTTGTAGAGATGGGGTTTCACTATGTTGCCCAGCCTGGTCGTGAACTCCTGGGCTCAAGTGATCTGCCCACCTCGGCCTCCCAAATTGCTGGGATTACAGGTGTGAGCCACTGCACCAGGCCTTAATTTTTTTTTTCTTTTGGATACATACCCACTAGTGGAATTGCTCAATCATATGGTAATTCTGAAATGAGCTGTCTGTAAATGCATGGGTGGTATCTGAGTTCTCTATTCTGTTCCATTGATCTATGTGTCTGTTGTTATGCCAGTACAGTGGTTCTACATAAATTTTAAGAACGACAAAATAATTTGTTTTTTCTACTTGTATGAAGATTGTCATTGTATTTTGAGTTATTTTTAATGCCTTCTCATTTAAACTTCCTTCCCCTGCCAGCACACATAAACACAAATCTTTTGAAGTCATTTTATTATTAATGTGTCAATTTACAAATGAGAAACGGAGGCACAGGCAGCTGAAGTTACACAGGGGCTTATGGAGCTGGCTTTCAAACCCAGGCAATCTGACTTCAAAGCCCACCTTGAGTAGTGAACCTCAAGATGCCAACGAGCGATGCTGCCCCCTGCTGGAGAAAATAAGCTGTTGGCTCTAGCCCAAAGCAGCCTTGGATGGTACCAGCGGCTTCTCGGGTAGCCTGGCAAAAAAAACTCCGTTCCAAAGGGATTCTGTGTATTGGTGATATTTAATGATTCTGTTTGTATTTTCTTGAGGAAACTGTGAACGTAAAACAACCAGAAAGAAAGGAGTAGGGACAGAGGCAGTAAGGAAACAGTTTGAGGGGAAGCAAAGCAGAAAAAATAAGGCAGAGGGCGATGCAGTCAGAAGGCGGGATCTCCGGGGCCTGTGAGCTTCCGGCACGGGTGACAAAGCGGCCAAGTCCCCAGAGCAGCCCCTGAGACCTCACATCTGCTGTTGAACTTGCAACAGTGAGAAAAAGTCTTCTTCTTCTCCATTAGGCCTGGCTGGGAGATCCCTGAAATGGTTTTCTGGGTCTCCTCACCACACACCCGCCAGCCTGCACCGTGTAAACTTTCTATAATCCCCCCACATCTGAGATGGTCTGAACGCTTTCTTCTTTGCAGCCTGAAAGCCGAACACAATACCAGTTTGGTGTAGGTCTTGGGCAAATCCCTACTGCCCTTCTCTTCCCTGGGTCTCAGGTTTCTTTTCAGCATAAGGCAGTTTGGGTTCTCAAGCGAGGGCAGTACTGCCCCACTGAGGGCAGGTAGAGAGAGAGAGAGAGAGAGAGAGAGTGTGTGTGTGTGTGTGTGCGCTAGCGCGCGCACGTGCATGTCAGGGAGCAACGTTGGTTGTCACAAAGACTTGGAGGAGGGTGCCACTGGCATTTAGCACCCAAGAACCAGCGATGCTAAACATTCTGCCAATGCCATTAGCAACCCCGTGGAGAAACACTGGGTGATTAAGAGTATATACCATTGTTTCTTCATAAAAAATGTAAATAAATCCACTTTCAGTTTTGAAGTTCTGTTAAATGGGGCTCTTGGAGTAAAATGGTAGTGTATTAAAGGAAAGTGATAAATAGCTCATGATTTGTATGGAGCTTTTTAAACCGGGTTTTCAATTCTGTGTGATTTTCTAAAAAAACAGTTTTGCTGTGAGTAGATTTCTGGCATGTTTCTAATGCTTGTAAGCTCTGAAGATCTAAAGCCATGATCACATTAGACACAGATGTCCAGAGAGTGGACAGAGGGTGTCCCGCTGATAAAATTGTTTGGTAGAATTTTCCTGAGTTGTAGAAAAATAATTTTTTAAGTCATTGGTACCTGTTTTGATATGTCTGCTAGTGAGCGCTAATGGAACGTTGGGCAAAGGCAGACTGGAGCATACTTCGTGAAGGAGCCTTTCTCTAGGGCCAACCGCAGTGGACTTTTTTGGTCCCCCTGAATCATAGATGAATCTGCAACTTAAATTGTGGTCATCCCTTACCACTTAGGATATTTTTAATTTTTATTATTAATTTTATTATTTATTATTGTTATTCCTTGTGTTATTTTTGTTGTATCTCAGTACAATGTGACTTCATGTTTTTATTAACCCATTTTTAAAAACTTGCTTGCATCCTACTTTCTGTGAAATGATAGTCTGATAAACTACATATTTTTTCAAATATGTTTTAAAATATATGCATAACAATTTAAAAGTTTTAAAGTTCATCCATATGCTTACTACCCTAAATCATCTTGAGTAAGTGTAAACACAACCATAACTGTACACTGTAAAAATGATATGAGAGATTTTTAAAAACCAGGATCCTACATAGGCAACAGATGGCTTAAAAGAGAATGCAAAAATCCATGTTTGTAAAATGAGTGCACATGAGTTTATAATAGAGTTCATTGACTTAAGCACGAGTGTCAATTTGTGAGCTTGTATGTCTATGTGAGAGACAGAACAGTCAACTACACCTACTATTCATTGTGGCCTTATGTGGCATTCTTGTATGAACTTCCAAATACTCCTTAATGTAGTTGGGTGTGGTGGCTCACACCTGTAATCCCAGCACTTTGGGAGCCTGAGAGGGGGCAGATCACTTGAGGTCAGGAGTTCCAGACCAGCCTGGCCAACATGGTGAAACGCTGTCTCTACTAAAAATACAAAAATTAGCCAGGCGTGGTAGCAGAGGCCTGTAATCCCAGCTACTCAGGAGACTGAGGCAGGAGAATTGCTTGAGCCCAGGAGGTGGAGTTTGCAGTAATCACGACATTGCACTCCAGCCTTAATAAGCAATTGGTAAAATACTTACCCACTGTACCATAATAAATTACTATTGCTGTAGCCAAAAGCAAATAAATTTGAAAGGTAGGTTAGTTTCTTCTGGCTTATCTAAGGTGGATATACAATGACTTTCAGGCTTTGGAAATCATTGAAACATAGCTCTTGGATCCTGTGGCAGAGATAAGGGAATCATTCCAAAACCTGGCCACAGAATTGAAGCTGTGTAAGGAGGGAAGTGAGGACATGATGAGGGTGAGGGAGAATTTAAAAGGTGGTAGGGTTAACAGAACATGGTCCCAGGGAAGTTGAGTACCAGAGGCCCTGCATTTTCCATGTGACCTAAGGGTTCCCAGAAATGGAGACAGGAAGTCCATGTTTCTTAATGCCTCACAGTCAAACTCCTACTTTACACAAACCCACGTTACTGGGGAAAGGTTCGCATGTGGCCAAAGCACCCTCCACCAGATAAATGCATAAAAAAGGAATTAAAACTTTATTCTATTCTTTCAAACATAAGGGTTCCTCCATCAGGTATGCCTTTTTCTTGGCAATTACTGAATAATCACAATGATAGCTTCACATGTATGGAGGACCCTCAGTGTGTCAGAATTCTTGTTAAGTCAAAAGGAATAATTCTATTTACAGGAAACAAAGGCAGCCCATTGTCAGGCTGACACTGTCCACAGATTTTATCCATGTAGCTTGCTTCTTGCAAACTCCACGCAGGCAGGGATTCTTACCTGTTTTGTTCAGGTTCCAAGCACCTGGGCTTAGCACATAGAAGGCTCTTAAACATTTGTTAAATGAATGAATGAACCTCAACCTTTCTCACCTTCAGTGAAAAGCACTGCAAGGTGATTGAGGAGAAAATAAGGAAGCCTTAGTCCCTGACATTTGTTGAGAAAGGGGTCGAGGAGATGATGAGGGGTGGGGAGAGGAGGCTTTTCCCATGGAACTCTCCAACACTGCTGCAGAAAGCCAAGCACATGACATGCACCACACGACCCCTAGGTGGTGGTCCTTGCAGCCGATTTCAGAGACCATAGCCCCAAAAGTGCAGAGGGTTCCTCTGTTCCCTCTCCTTGGACAGTTCCCATTAGTCTGTCTGGCCTTACCTTTCTAAAGAAATTTGCCGCTTGAAAATCACAGTGATGTACGTTATTGAGTCCCCAGAACTCTCAATCCCCTCTGTTTTTGCCCATCCCAAGCCCAAACTGGCAAGCTCTCTTTCTGCCCGATCTTCCAGGAAGCTTCCCCAACTGCCACAGTCCTGTCCAATTTCACTGAATTTTATTATTTTCAATAGACATATTTTTTAAATGTCTCTCTAAAAGCGACTTAAGATTATTATGTAAGATTTTTATAAGATTATTAACTTTGTAAGATTTTGCCCATCTGAATCAATCTCCAAATCATAGAAAAAATGTTATTGACCTGATAATCGTGTTTCAATCCGGGGTTTGGAAAAGATGTTCACCACATGGAAATCATGGCTAAGACCCATTTCGCACAAAATGCACACTCAGGCATGGTTCAGTATCACGGTGCAGTGTGTGCGTGTCGGGTACCTCACCAGCCACACTTCGGCTTTGTAAAGGTGGGTTGGGGAGCCGAGTCCTCCCATCCTTTCACAGCCCCCGCAGGCCCTGGGTGAATGCTGGTCTAGTGAATTCACAGCTCCCGGGCAACTCCCAGCCGCGAGGCGGGGCGGCAGGGTGGAGGGAGCCACCCGCGGAGAGGCCTCGACCCCCACCCCAGCGAAGCCTAGGGCCGGGGAGCTGCACCTCGGCGCACCCCGCCTGGCGCCCTGAGCCCGCGTGGGCCCGGGCCGGGTTTGCGGGGAGGCAGCTCGGCTCCCGGAGGTCCTCCCGCAGGCGGCGCCCTCCGAGCCAGGCGCGAAGTGCACCCAGGCCCCGCAGCCCAGCGCCGCGTGGCCATCCAGAGGGATTTGTCAGCGCGCCCTATATAGCCGCAGACAGCTGCCATCTGTTATGTTTAGTAACACCACCACGCCGCTCCCCCTTCCTTGAGAATAAACCCGCCTTGGTCATTAAGCCACGAGGATATTTTTTTAACGACTCCCACTCCCTCTTGCAAGCAGTCTTAGCTCATCAGTCCGGGTCTGAGTCTTGAGCGCCCAATTCTGCTTCCTCACTGCGTCCTGGGCGCTCTCTGAGCTGGACGAGCCATCCACTGTGGGCTTGGGCCCCGGGCAGGTGCTTACAGGAAAAGGCGGAGACAGCGCCTCCCTCCATGGGTGCAGCGAGGAGAAAAATCCGTGGTGTGTGACCATTTTAATGCATCGCATTTCAGTTCTGCAAATGCAAAGTGTAAATTAGGCTAGAACATGATTGTGAATCAGACCAGACGTCATGATTAATTTATCACTGTGCTCCAGATACATCAGCTAAAATAATATGAATTTAAAGTAACGGTTCCTCCCGCCTTTGTGTTTGCTGGTGAACTCTAAAGAATAGATCACTAGAGAAATAAAGGAACTTAAGAGTCCACTCTATTCTCGTATTAGCGGAGCATGAACATAATTAAACATTCTCAATAAGGTTTCTTCCACCGTTTGAAATTAAATTTGCCCACCCACATTTTGTATCCGTCTGTGTAACACTCACTGATGCACCCTGAGCTGCTGATAAACATTGAGGCGGAGATTAGCTTTTTCATATTTCAGGTAACATTTATGATGCCTCAAGTTCTGGTTCCCAAACTGGCTGATTATCAAAATTGTCTAGGGCCTTGCCACTAAAAGTGTGGTCCATGAAGTAGCGGCACGGTATCACTTTTGAGATCGTTAGGAATGCAGAATCTCAGGCCCTACTCAGACCTGTTGATGGGAGTCTAAATTTTTTACAAGACCTGCCCTCACCACATCACCACCCCCATTAAAGTTTGAGAAGAATTGATGTAGTTTTTTAAAAACCACAAATACCTTTGCTCAGACATCTATATATGTTTAGTAAGCAGCCGAGTTGATTCTTATAAGTTGAGTTGTCAAGTTTGGAGGTCACTGGTCTTTGAGGCTCAAGGTTCAGATGACTTTTATGCTGATGACATGAACCAAATTTATTAAATCAGTGGAACTCTCTCTGAAAGTTTGGTACAGGTGAGTTTATCTGTTTAGTCATCCATGAATTACAAGAAAGCTTATTAATTATTTAGTTAAATAATGACACATTTAGTCCTCCAATTAGGAAAGCTCAACACTAGGAAGGAGGATTTTCTCCTTATGTAACTGGCTCATTCACTCCCAGACTGAGTGTAGGCATGAGGAAATCTTTTGCTTGGCCATCAAAGCCGCCCCCACCCCCTTCGAATGTTCTGACTTTCTTTATAACAGTACCTTTCATTCAGAAGAATACAAACATCCCTTGTGCTGCTGTTCAGTGATGTTGAGGGCTGTACTGGAGGACTGTGTCTAGTTCTGGACCTCACAATAAAAGAGGGATGTGGGGACCTTGGCAAAGGTTCAGAAGATATTTGTAAAGGTTATTTTTTAAATTCAGAATGAATCTTCACATTGTGTGGCATTATCTATAAAATGGACATGAAATGAACTTTGACTGTAGCTTGAGATTTTTACTTTAAGAGAAAAGCAATTGTAGAAATAAGTGGAGGAAGAAGAAAGAATGTCTCTTGAGCACAAGTTCTCACCTTGTGCATTAGTTACAATGACCTGGAGAAATTTTTTAAAACCCCAATGCCAGTTAAGTTGGGGGAGTCTTTGTGGTTGGGACCTGAGCATCAATAGTTTTTCAAGTACTCCAGGTGATTCCAATGCACAGCTCCTGAGCAGTGCTGCTGCAACTTTAATGTCATTGGCACCACCTGGGAAGTTTGTTAAAATGCAGATTGTGGCCGGTGCAGTGGCTCACACCTGTAATCCAAGCATTCTGGGAGGCCAAGATGGGCAGATCACTTGAGGCCAGGAGTCTGAGATCAGCCTGGACAACATGGCAAAAACCTGTCTCTACTAAAAATACAAAAAGTAGCTGGGTATGATGGTGCATGCCTATAATCCCAGCTACTTGGGAGGCTGAGACACCAGAATCACCTGAATTCAGGAGGTGGAAGTTGCAGTGAGCTGAGATTGTGCTACTGTACTCCAGCCTGAGAGAGCAAGACTGTGGGGCAAGAGATTCTGCAATTCTAAGAAGCATCTAAGTGAAGTCAAAGCCCTGGTTTTATGAACCAGGCTTTGAGTAGCAAAGGCTAGCGGGGTTTGAAAGTAAACTAAACTCTCTGCCAGGAAAAATCCATGATCTTATTTTCAGGCCATCTCAAAGTCTCCTATGGCTTTATGACACCTGTCAACATGCAAAAGAGATAACTCCAACCACCACATAAGCCAATGAAAAGAAAACCAAGCCAAGTGCGGGTGCAGTGGCTCATGCTTATAATCTCAGCACTTTGGGAGGCCAAAGTGGGAGGATTCTTGAGGACAGGCATTTGAGACCAGCCTGGGAATCATAGCAAGACCTCATGTCTTTAAAAAAAAAAAAAAAAAAAAGTTTAAATTAGCCAGGTGTGGTGGTGTGCACCTGTAGTCCCAGCTACTTGGGAGGCTGAGCCAGGAGGATCACTTGAGCCCAGCAGTTTGAGACTGCAGCTGCAGTGAGCTATGCACCACTGCGCTCCAGCCTGGGTAACAGAGTTAGATGCTGTCAAAAAAGAAAAGAAAAGAAGGAAAGGAAGGAAGGAAAGAAGGCAGGCAGGAAGGCAGGAAGAAAGAAAAAAGAAAGAAAGAAGGAAAGAAAGAATAAAAGAAAGAAAGAAAGGAAAAGAAAAGAAAAAAGAAAGAAAGGACAGAAAAGAAAAGAGACAGAAGAAAAGAAAAGAGAGAAAAGAAAAGAAAAAGAAAAAGCAAACCGGAAGCCAGGGTGAGGAACACTGCTTTGGATGAAAACATTTAACAATGAACAGTATCTCCTTGAATTGGAAAGTATTTATAGGAGAACTTAAAAGAGAGAACTTTTTCTGGACAACATTACCATCCCTATTCTCACAATTCCATTTCTTCAAGATAGCTTTAGTAGTAAACAGAGTTGTCATATGTGTAATGGGGCAGATGATCAAGTGCAGTGGCAGCTGGGGTGTAAGAGCTGCTATATCTATGCTAGTAACATTTGGTCCAAAGCTGAGCCAGCTCAGAACCTAGATGTTTCTCTGAATTCTGGAGATAGTGAGAACCAGCCACTTTGTCAAGAGATTCCATTCAGCTGTCAACATGATGGCACAAGTCGGTAAAGCAAAATTTAAAAATGTTTAAACTTGAAAATGTCCACAGTAATATTTATAGTTAGCCTAAATGAAAAGGCTTTACATGTACTATCTCATTTAATCCTTGCAATAATCTTATAGATAATTACTATTATTATCCCGATTTTACAAATAAGACAACAGAGCTCAGAGAAGGCAAGACACTTGCCCTACTTTGAAACTAAACTAGAAACTAGTGTTTCTAGAAACACTTTCTAGAAACTAGAAAGTGGCAGAGCCAGGATTGGAACCCATTCGTTTGATTCCAGAGTCCCCACATTAAGCTCAACAGTGTGATAACAAAGCTAGTTTGCCATTGGGGATTTTCTGTCAATATTCCTGCTGCTATAAGCAGTGTGTTCATGTTTTCCTTAGTGTTTGGTCTAAATATTTTTCAAAAGCAGTCTTTTAATTTTTTAATTAGCTTGGTTCCCCAACAATAAAGCTCTTTAAAGGTCAGATGTTAACTTAATCCTCTTTGGGTTATCGTTGAAAAAGATCAGCCGAATTGACCTTGACAAAACTGCCTCCAAGGCTTGGGGACAGACAGTCTCTTTGATATCAGTGAACATAGTTAACTGCTGTCATGGTAAGGGGCATTTTCTATGCCTTTGATAGCAGGCAGATTTGTTTTTCTTGACAAGACCCCGAGTAAAAAGACTTAATATCCATCTTTAATGTGAATCGAATCATGCCCTGCTGACATTAGATCCTCAGCCCCAGGGAACACCAGGCTGGCTGCTGAGGGGCTGCATTAGGCCGATTCAATGGCCAAGAGCATGACAGGAGCCGAATTGCACGGCCAGCAAGGGCGGGCTCATCACATGCTCATCTGCCAGCCTGCACCGCAGAGCCAACCCAATGAAAAAGACAGCCAGGTCCGTGGTTCACATGCTCTTCCGTGAGGACAGCCAGGACTGCCAAGGCAGCAACCTAAACCGCAGTTTGCCTGAGAACAGAAATGTATCAGCTTTGAGTCAACACTGTAACAAATAGCTTTATACATAAAAAACACAAAAAGGCATTGCCGCCCAGGGCCTGTGCTGAGACAAAGATGAAGGTGTGCAGAACCAACCTCAGGGGAAATGCTGAGGCGAAGGACACTCAGTGATTGATGTCTGTGCCTGCCGCCTCCTGTCCAAGGGGCTACGGCAGTAACAGCCATGACCCCACCCCTCAGCCTGGCTCCCATTGGCTGGGTATACACATGACTACAGCAGAGCCAGTCAGAGCCCTTCCCTGGAATTTTAAAAACTGGAAGTGAAAAAAGGAATCTGTCTTACCAGTGGCAAGGGTGAAGGGATTGAGGCTTGGGAGCCGTCAGCAGCCATTTTCCCTCCCATGTGGAAGAAGCTGATCTGGACAGTGCTGCAGAAAGGAAGGACAGGGAGAGTAGGGAGAGCATTCAGATGCCCGGCTCCAGTTGTTTCTGAGGCCCAGCCACATTCCTGACCAGCCACAATTTAGTTGTTCAGCCTTAGATACTCCAAACTAATAAATTCCCCCTTTACCTAACCTAGTTTGAATTAAATTTCTATCACTTGTAACCAAGAAAGTCGTACAGAGGAAGTGGGTGTAATTTTATTTTAGCCCCTCCCACTTCATATTTAGTATTCTCTCCTCTAAAGTGGACAAGTAGTACTTTTTTACAGGGGACACTTTTCTCCCATTTTAAAAACTGACCCATGATGGTCCCTCTCCTTAGGATCTGGGCCCTGGCTTTCTGTCACGTGGCTTTAAGAAAAAGCGATGAATTAAAAAAATGCTTCTTCGGGGAAAATCTGCATTTTTTCATAACAGTGGAAAAATAAATGCATTTCAACTCAATAAGTCGGAGACAGAGTTGGTCTTCTAGCTGTTGCTTGAATGACATCAGTGTTGATCCTAGAGGTACAGGAATGAAAGAGTGGGCATTTATTGAACGTTCGTTGTGTGCCTGACAATGTGTGAGGCACAGTTTCCAAAATACTGATTTTCATTAATTTTCACAATCACAGTTTGATAAGAATGTAGTTGAGAAATACTATGATTTTAACTATTTTCTAATTCTTTTATTTGTATCCTTTCTGCTACCATTCAAACATCCATGGAGAGTTTCTACGTGCCCTCTCTTTAGGGCACCACTAATATGCCTAGAAGAAAGAAGAAAATTCTTGGTGTTTGAGTTCAACAGTAGACTTTAAAAATCTATAGTAGATTAAGCTGATTTTCACAGACAGGAGCTTTTTTTTAAATTCTGAAAACTTGTTTCTAAATACTAAGGGCAAAGAGAACCTGGATCCCAACTTTATACTATTAATATAAACCAGAGGTCAGCAAACTACAATCTTTGGAGGTAAAGTTTTTTTGTAATTAAGTTTTACTGAAGCACAGCCATATCCATTTGGTTACCCATTGTCTATAGTTACTTTTGCACTTAGAACAGTGGGCTGAGTAGTTGCAACAGAGACCATATAGCCTGCAAAGCCTAAAATATTTGCTGTTTGGCACTTTTCAGAATTTGTGACCTCTGCATAGGGATGAAGAACACAAGAAGAGAAGGGAGATGTTTTGTCTCCCTAAAGGAAATAAGCATTTGACCTGCAGCAGATAGAGAGAAATGTAAGAATGGGTGACTAGAGCTTAGAGTTTTCTGGGCTCTAGAGAATGGGTGCAGAGACCACCATACTGAGCTAAGTCAAAGAGAGGGAGTGGGAAATAGAAACCACAGATTAATTTGAAGGGAATTAGAGAGTGAGGGAACTTTAGCTTGGAGGCAACCAGACAGAAGGGTCTGAGACCTCAATGCAGAGTAGTCTGAAACTTCAATACAGAGTAGTCTGCAGGAGTATCCAGAAGCTTTTTTTGTTCCCTGCAAAGTGCCAAAGGTGACTAAAAGGGCCAGCAGACTGAATGAAGTCTCTTAGTTATATGACATGTCAATGCCATCAACAAATAGGCTAGACCATACATGTCAGAGATCCCAGCTGGCCCAAGGACATCAGCAGAGATAGAACCAGCATCCAAATGCCTACAAGAACAGAGGATGTCACATGTCCCAGAAGCTAAACCCTTAATGCCAGGGCAATTCTTGGAGCCCGTATTTCACCCTCAGAACTTAGATTACCTTAGAGAGAAGGAAATAGAAGACAGGATCATTCACTAAGTGGTTTCCAAAAAGTGTTGAGTGAGCTGCTTGGAGGGTTTATATCTATCTTACTGTTAACTGTGTGTTTTAAATATCCCTTAGAAGTTCTGCCCCAATGAAGTGTCATCAGCATTAAGACTATAATACTGGTGTCTGAGACAGCACTGTCCAGTAGAACTTTCAGCTATAATGGAAATGTTTTGTATTAGTCTGTTCCCGCATTGCTCTAAAGAAATACCTGAGACTGGGTGATTTATAAAGAAAAGAGGTTTAATTGGCTCATGGTTCTGCAGGCTGTATAGGAAACATAGTGGCTTCTGCTTCTGGGAGACCTTGGGAAACTTACAATCATGGCAGAAAGCAAAGGGGAAGTGGGCACGTCTTACATGGCTGGAGAAGTGGAAGGGGAGCTGCTATACACTTTTAAGTGATCAGATCTAATGAGAATTCACTCACTATCAGAAGAACAGCACCAAGGGGGAAATCTGCCCCCATAATCCAATCACCTCCCACCAGGCCCTACCTCCAACACTGAGGATTACAATTCAACATGAGATTTGGGCAGGGACACCGATCCAAATGATATCATTCTGCCCCAGCCCCTCCCAAATCTCATGTCATTCTCACATTGCAAAATACAATCATCCCTTCCCGACAGTCCCCAAAGTCTTAACTCATTCTAGCATTAACTAAAATTTCCAAAGTCCAAAGTCTCACCTAAGACAAGGCTAGCCCTTCTGCCTATGAGCCTATAAAATCAAAAACAAGTTAGTTACTTCCAGAATACAATGGGGTATAGGTATTGGGTAAATACTCCCATTCAAAAAGGGAGAAATTGGCCAAAACAAGGCCCCATGCAAGTATAAAACCCAGCAGGGCAGTCATTAAACCTTAAAGCAACAAAATAATCTCCTTTGACTCCATGTCCCATATCCAGGACACACTGGTACAGGGGGTGGGCTCCCAAAGCTTTGGGCTTTGCAGGGTTCAGCCCCCATGGCTGCTCTCACAGGCTGGTGTTGACTGCCAGAGACTTTTTAGGCTGAGGGTGCAAGTTGTCAGTGGCTCTATCATTGTGGGGTCTGGAGGAGGGTGGCCCTCTTCTCAAAGTTCCACTAGGCAGTGCCCTCAGTGGAGACTCTGTGTGGGGGCATGAACCCCACATTTCCCCTCCACACTGCCCTAGTTGAGGTTCTCCATGAGGACTCCACCCCTGCAGCAGGCTTCTATCTGGACATCAAGGCTTTCCCATACATCCTCTGAAATCTAGGTGGAGGCTCTCAAGCCTCAACTCTTGCATTCTGTGCACCTGCAGGGTTAACACCATGTGGAAGCCACCAAGGCTTATGGCTTGCACCCTCTGAAGCAGTGGCCTGAGCTGTACCTGGGCCCCTTTTAGCCATGGCTACAGCTGAAGTGGCTGGGATGCAGGGAGCAGTGTACTGAGGCTGTGCAGAGCAGCAGAGTCCTGGTTGTGGCCAGGGCTTGTGATGGGAGAGGCTGTTGAGAAGTTATTTGAAATGCCTTCAAGGCCTTTCCCCCATAGTCTTGGCTATCATCACTTGGATCCTCATTACTTACACAAATTTCTGCAGCCTGCTTGAATTCTTCCCCTGAAAATGGGCTTTTCTTTTCTACCACATGGCTGGGCTGCAAATTTTTTTTTTAAACTTTTAGGCTCTGTTTCATCTTTAAATATAAGTTCCAGTTTTAGGTCATTTATTTCCTCACACATATGACAGCATAGGCTGTTAAAAGCAGCAAGGCTACATCTTGAATGCTTTGCTGGTTAGACATTTCTTTAGCCAGGTACCCTAAATCACGACTCACAAGTCCAAAGTTCCACAGATCCTTAGGCCAGGGGCACAATGCCTCCAAGTTCTTTGCTAATGCATAACAAAAGTGATCTTTACTGTAGTTCCCAATAAGTTCTTCATCTGCATCTGAAGCCTCCTCAGCCTGGGCTTCATTGTCCATATCACTACCAGCATTTCAGTCATAACAATTCAACAAGTCTCTAGGAATTTCCAAACTTTTCATCATCTTCCTGTCTTCTTCTGAGCCCTCCACACTCTTCCAATCTCTGCCCACTCCCCAGTTCCAAAATCCCTTCTGCATTTTTGGGTATCTTTATAGCAGTACCCCACTCTCAGTACCAATTTTCTGCATTAGTCTGTTCTTGCATCACTATAAAGAAATACCTGAGACTGGGTAATTTATAAAGATAAGAGGTTTAATTGGCTCATGCTCCTGCAGGCTCTACAGGAAGCATAGCAGCTTCTGCTTCTGGGAAGCCTCAGGAAGCTTACAATCATGGCAGAAAGTGGAGGGGAAGCAGGCACGTCTTAACATGGCCAGACAAGTAGGGGGGCCAGGGAGGTGCTACACAGTTTTAAACAACCAGATCTCATGAGAACTTACTCATTGTCAGGAGAAGCAAGAGGGAAATTAGCACCAAGAGGGAAATCTGCTCCGAGATCCAATCACCTCCCACCAGGTCCCACCTCCAACACTGGGGATTACAAGGGATCAACATGAGATTTGGGCTAGGACACAGATCCAAACCATACCATGTCTATATCTGCACTGTTCAGTATGAGAGCTGCAAGCCACATGTGGCTACTGAGCACCTGAAGTACAAGTAGTGCAACTGAGGAATTAAACTTTATTTTTTTTGAGACAGAGTCTCGCTCTGTTGCCCAGGCTGGAGTGCAGTAGCACAATCTCGGCTCACTGCAAGCTCTGCCTCCCAGGTTCACGCCATTCTCCTGCATCAGCCTCCCAAGTAGCTGGGGCTACAGGCGCCCGCCACCACAACTGGCTAATTTTTGTATTTTTAGTAGAGACAGGGTTTCACCTTGTTAGCCAGGATGATCTCGATTTCCTGACCTCGTGATCTGTCCGCCTTGGCCTCCCAAAGTGCTGGGATTACAGGCATGAGCCACCGTGCCCGGCCTAAACTTCTAATTTTATCTGATGTTCATTCATTTTAATTATAATTTAAATAGCCACAGTGCAGTCCTGAGAGATCAGATTATTTTCCAAGTACAAAATATACTAATTTCACTTCAAAATTAAAAGGAGTAACTGAAGAAGTCTAGTTTAAGGGATAGTGGACATCATGACTTCTGTTTTCTAGTGCCCTCAGTTATTGTCTCTGGAGTAAATTCTTGGAGTGTTCTGGTATGTTTTCAGACATAATACAGATCAGAGGACCCAACTGAAGAAGCAAAACACAGATTGACTTGAGGATGCCTCAAGAGCTTTTATTTTGATCATCACAGTTCATCTGGTGCTGTTATGGGAAGATGGACAAAGAGATCTTTGAGATCAGGAAAAACACAGATCAAAAAAAGAAAACCAAGGTAAGGAGCAGAAGGTGGGAGTGCAAGACTGGGGTGGGATAGAGGGAGATTAAAAGTACTTGCTCTATAACATCCTTCCGTTTCCTAGTCCTCTCAAATCCCCTCTGAGCCAGTCTCCCACACCCAGCTGTATTTGGCCTGCCTTCATCCCTTCTTTCCTCCCTCATTCAAGCCTATAATTACGGACACCAGGTGCATTGCTTCCACTCTTCTCTTGTGACTTTATCATTCACCAAGCTGTGAATGGTAATTTGCCAACCTCCATCGAAGTTTCTTTTTAAAAGCAGGATATGCTTGGTGTAATGTTACATCACTAAGAAGCCTGAGACAATAGAAAAGGAAATGGAATTTACCTAAGGAACAAAAGTGTCTGCAGCTCACTTCTCTGCAGCCCTAGATTACAGTGTAGAATTGGTTGCAGGGCTCTGGGGGAACAGAGGCCGTGCCCAGAACAGGGAAGGGGCTTCCTGCAGAAGCAGCCCATGGGGTAGGTGTTTAGTAGCCATAAGTGGGGCTTATATATTATATGCCAAATAGAGATTAGGGTAAGGAAGCAAAAGACTGTAATTCATCCATTCAACAGATTGTAACTGGGGACCATGGAGTGGTTAAGGCAGACTTTCTGGGTTCAAATCCTGCCTTAACCAGTTAGTGATGGCACACCCTTGGGCAGGTCATGCACCTTCTCTGAGCCTCAGTTTTTCATCTAAGTAATGCTGATGACAATGATGATGCCTACATCATGGTGTTATTTTGAAGATTTAAATGAGATGCTACACGGGAAGCACTTAGTGTGGTACCTAGCATGGGGTAAACACAGAGTGCCAGCCATGTGGTAGTATTAGTTTTATTTCCTTTGCTTAGCCCTATGCAAAGTGGCTGTGGGAGAGAGTAGCCACGTTCTTCTGGGCATATTCCTCTAAGCCTGTTATGTTCTAAGTCTTGAAAAGAATGATGCACCTGAGGCTGGTTTTACATGTCTCTTGTGTCTACGGGCCTCCATGCAAGTCTCTAGCCTTCAGAACATGCACTGAAAAAGACTGCTTCCTCCTTTCTCATCCTTACCAAGCTCAGGAAACCTACTGGCCTGAATTGAGAGGTTAGAAGGGCCCCTCCGGTGAATTAAAAGGGACGAAAAGGGAGTCATTAGTAAATAACTTTCATCTTGGATGACAGAGAGATGAACAAATTACGTGGTGACTCTAACACAGGGAGCCCTAAGCTCTGTGTGTTCAGGTGGGCACAGAAGTCAGCCAGAGCAGCAACAAATCCCAAGTTCCCCTGGCAGGGGAGGGTGTCCTGTCCTTTTGAGGTCAATGCATTTTCTAAGCAGCCAAGTCTGGAGTATTTAGCAACCCTGTTTTAGAAATCAAGTTTCCCTGCCACCCCTCCCCACCAGCTCTTCTGTGGCCTCCACTGGCTTTGAAGATTTGGTGGGAATGCTAGTTCCCTGGCCATGTTCCTTTCTCTCTCAGAGAAGGGGCTCAAGCCAAGAATTAGGAATAAAGTGGAGTGGCAATGTGGGGCCCCTGGGAAGGAGAGGGGCCGTGAAGGAGGATCAGATGCCTTCCCTCAGATAAGGAGTATGATGCTCAGCCACAAGCCCCTTCCCTGACCAGCCTCTGCAGTGGCTGAAAACAGCACCCCTCCTCCATTAACAAAATAAACAATCAGCCATGGTTTGCAAGTTAGAAGTTAAACCAAATTTAGTCACAAGGATACAATTCATATTCACATCCTTTGAAGTGAACTCTCCTGGCCAGTAGGAAGCAATTCCTGAGGACGGCCACCTCTGTCTAGCTCCTGCCTCCATCAGGGCTCTAAGCAGCATTGCTGGTGGGCCTGGTGGGCTGGTGGGCTGGCTTCTGTGCTCCTTAAAGGCTGAGAACCTGCCTGGATATATTTCAAAGGTGATTTTTCAAAAGTCATGGTGATCTTTTTTGCAGTGAAAAGATTAACTGGCCAATTGGACGTTGAGACCCAAATGAACTTTAGGAGCAGTGTCTGGTGTGCTGCATGAAATATTCCTTGCTATTCATTCAACTTGACTCACACGTATCTGGGGGGAATCACAATGTCTAAGAACAGAGGGTCACCCTGCCTGCAAAGCAGTGGGCGGGGGCCTCAACATGAGCCCCCCTGCTGCTCACAGTAATCACAAGGCCAGCTCTATAGGGGCTGGGGACAAAGAAAACAAAGCCATTTGCTGTTCAGGAAAAAGCTCAAGCAACCACTGTGGTTTATGGCTTTGAAGAAGTTGAAGGTGCCAGAAAGAAGCCAGCAAGAGTTCATCTGAATCCACAAATCCCAAGACTGCCATGTGAATCGGGCCCTGTTAAAGTATGGTGCCAGCTGGTTTTGCTGACACACCAAAGGACTGAGGGCACTGGAGATGTGAAACCACTCAAAGCTTCCCCAAGTTCTTGTTCCCAGGAAGAGAGGAGGAGTCCCACGTTGCGCTTCCCAAGGCTGCTCAGGGCAGCCTTCGGGGAATAGTTAAGAACTGTTTGGAATGACAGCAGCCCCTCTGGACCTTTCCCCTGCCTTGCTCTCCCTAACTTTACAAAAGCATTTGAATCACTACAGACTGGCTGTGCCATTTGCCAACGCTTCTTGATTCAGCATAACTGGGTGGGACTCAAGAATATGCCTGGGAGGCTCTGGGATGGGGGTTTATCTTCTGTCTCCATAGTAACAACTATCACTTACTGCGCACTCACTGTGTAACAGGCCCTGAGTTAAGCAATTGACCTGCATGTTTAACTCAGGTGGGAACTAACATTCCACATCTGCTTGCTCTGCCATTCTTCCACCCTGCCGTTCATTCTCTGGCTTGTCTCCTAGCTGTACAGCATCTATCACCATTCCTCAATGACATGACAGAAATCAAGTCTTTCCCATATCTTTATCTCCTAAAAAGATTAGCTCAGGGACTCGTGTGTACTGTTGAAAATGTTAAGTAAAATCTTCCACTTTTGTACTGGATGTGGGATACCGAGCACCTGCCACACTCACAGCCTCTTTTGGTGGCCTGGATGGATGATCTTGCTTTATCCCACATGACCTTGCTGCCCTATGTCACAGGTTGGCACCTGAGTCTAAGGTAGCCGTCTCACTGGCTGGCCCAACAAGCACACTTGCTAATGGATGTTGACTAGCCAGCTGATCAGATCTCATCTCTTGGGGAATTTGGTTAAAGATCCATGGAGGGAATCCATCAGTTGGTGGCAGCAAAATAGTAGAATTAAGTCACAAACACAGTGGAATCTTGAAAGTGAGCAGCAACAGATGCCCACGTGTAAGAGACTAGGCTGTTATATCCTTGAATGATATAACCCCAAGGCTTTCTTTGTCTAGCTAAAATTACATACAATATTCAGAAACACATTTATTCTTCTAACCATCATCCGAATGTATAAGTACTGTAAAATAGTTTGAGAACAAAACCAAAATGAAAAACAGCCAAACTGCTAGTTCTTAGTTGAGCCCATTGTTTTGAAATTCAGGATAAGACCAAGCACTCTCCATGGCCTGAATCCTCCTTCTCCCCAACCCCTCTTCCTTATCTACCTCCATCCTCCATGGTCCCCATTGCTGAGTGTGGAATGGGATCTCTGATGACTATATCTTTTTATTTTTATTCTTATTGTTTCTTAAGACAGGGTCATGCTTTGTCACCCAGGCTGGAGTGCGGTGGCACAATCATAGCTCACTATAACCTTGACTTCCTGGGCTCAAGTGATCCTCCTGCCTTAGCCTCCTGAATAGCTGTGGCTACAGGTGTGCATCACCATGCCTGGCTAATTTTTTAAATTATCATTTTTGTAGAGATGGGGATCACTATGTTGCCTAGGCTGGCCTCAAACTCTTGGCCTCAAGTGATCCTCCCACCTTGGTCTCCCAGAGTGCTGGGATTACAGGCATGAGCCACTGTGCCTGGCCCACAATGTCTAGACTGTAATCCCCTGTTTTGTTTTCTAGATGGGCTGTTGGCTGAGAAATCAAGGTCTTTTTGGAGAAGTTGTATCTCTAGTTGCTTGGAGAGGAGCATGTGGTCTGTCTACTACTATGCAGTGCCAAACGATAGATACGTTCCAATATGTAAGTATTTTTTTTTTACTCCTACTAATTTTTTTCCAAAATATCTTTTTCTATTCTCACTATAGTTTACTTATCCCAAGTTAATGGGAAGTTGAGTATACTCAGTGAATCCACATATATTCATATATAGCTATGTAAGATGGAAACGTGTTTACCTGACAGGCATTGTCAACAAATGTGACATGACAATGAACAATAATGACTATATTCTAAAAAATAAGTCTTAGGTTCAGCTTATAACATGAACAGCCTGTATAAAATTTTCCTTTTCCAAATCATTGCAGATTTGAGGACATCCATCCAGGGTGCAGTTAGAAAAAATAAAATGTCATTGAGCTTCTAAAATTATATGTTTATATAAATGTTGCCTGGAAGACACAGTGGTTCCTAAAAGTTTCTGATCACAGATTGGTGCCTTCTGGAGGGCAGCCTTCAGAAATCCCTGGTGGTCCCAGGTGGGCTAGGACTTAAAGGTGTGGTGTTGTTGAGAAACAAGGGACTTTTGATGCCACTCGGGATGGAGTATCAGGGACCAGATTAACTCTTCCACATGAAGCAACTAAGGAAACACACAAATTCTATGAAACACAGGTTTTCAAGACATTGCACAATCAGGCAGCGAGGCACAGGGATGCCTTTGAGAAAGGAAGTGTAAGCCTGATGAGCGCTTTGCTTTCCTGCCTGGGGAGATGTTCCAGGCGACAACGGCACAGCGGGAGGGAAACAGATAAAGCCTAGTGGTTTGTTGAACAGAGAGACTTGTGGGTCCAGGGAAGGCAAGGCCACTCAAGTTCTCAAAACAGAGTCCCTGAGAAAGCTGAAGAGGGAAAGAGCTGTGGAAATCTGCAGAGGTTCCTCCAAGTCTTCAGCTGAGTTCCGATCAGTATCACAGGAAACTACTTAAGCCTGGGATAGAACCACCCAATGCCGGGTAATGATGGAAACATGCTTCAAGTGACTTCGGTTTAACTGGGGGAATTTAAACAGTATCACTCTCTATTTGGTGAGGAAAGAAGACCAGTTAATGATAAAACTCTCTTTTGCACTGGCTGCTAGAAAGACTGAAGCCAAACGAAGCTCGCGTGACATGCATTTTCTATTCCACCCTTATTTCAGGCTTAATCTTACTTTTGCTATCCTTGCTTCCCTTAATTCTAGTCCTCTCTCTTAACAAAATTACTAGATTGTATATATTTGAAAAGTACTTTCTAGAATAAGGTGTAAACAAAGAGTAAAATCAGGACTCGTTTTAGGAAGAGAAATTCCAGTTTTGACTTTGGAAAAGCCAATGAGATAAAGATTAGGAATGGAAATTTGTCTAAACCTCTCAGAATTGATGAAAAATAGTAAAAATCTACAAGATGTAAAAAATAGGATAAAATGCCTACCAGGAGAGGAAGATTAATGTTCTCTCGGAGATAAAATGCTTTCAGTAGTACATTACCAACATCCGCGCTATTCTCCAGGGCTCATTGCCCAGACTCAAAGCCAAAGACAGAGTGGGGTAGACGGAGACAGGAAATTAGGATGGGTGAAGCTCAGAGATGGAGTAGGAGTCAGAATGGGAAGGCAGTGATAAACATTATTAGTGATAAACAAAATTATCTGGAATGAGGACCAACATCAGGTTGAGGTTCAGGATAGGGGAAGCCCGGGATGAGTGAAAATATGTTAGGCACATTTGTTAATTTTCAAAAAGCTAAAAGTGGGCAGGGCATGGTGGCTCACATCTGTAATTCCAGCACTTTGGGAGGCTGAGGCTGAGGCAGGGGGATCACTCGGGCTCAGGAGTTTGACATCAGCCTAGGCAACATTGACCCCATCTCTACAAAAAATAACAAAAATTAGCCAGCGGTGGTGGCACATGCCTGTAGTGCTAGCTACCTGGGAGACTGAGGTGGGAGGATCATTTGAGCCCAGGAGGTCGAGGCTGCAGTGGGCAGAGACCATGCCACTGCACTCCAGCCTGGTTGACACAGCAAGACCTTGTCTCGAAAAACAAAACAAAATAAAAAACCCAAAAATCTAAACTTTGGAGAGAAAAGGGAAAGCCCTTCTTTATAGTAGAATATGGAAAGAATGGAGTCAGAAAATAAACTGATGCTAAAACTGGTGGGTAAGAGTTTAATGAAGAAGGCTATTTACACAGTCTTGAATAATCTCCCCATTAATTACATGTTAATTGTAAAGAGAAAAACATTGACTTCACAGTGGAGAGAACCGGTAGGCATCACCTTAACTGAGGGAGCAAAGATAACATCACCAGTAATGGGACAAATAGATAACATGTGCCTCCCGATGTAATGTATTAAGGATGTGACGTCAGTTCTATTGGGTTCCTGCCAATGCTGCATAATCTGAAACTAATCAGAGAAAGCACTAGACAAACCCCAACTGAGAGATATGCTCAGACTAACTGGCTTCTGTGCCTCAAAAATGTTAAATGTAATAAAGACAAAGGCAGGCTGAGGAACTGTTCCAGAGTAAGGAAGCCATAGAGATATTACAACAGAATACATTTGCATAATCCCAGATTGAACCGTGGAGTGGAAAAAAATAGCTACAATAAACATTTTGAGGCAATTGATGAAATTTGAACAGATTATGGATAAGGTAACAGTATTTTATCAATGTAATATTTACTGGTTGTGGTAATTACACTGTGATTTTTATGTAAGAAAACACCTTTGTTCTCAGGAAATATAAATGAAGTATTTAGGGATAAAGAAGCATAATGTTTCCAACTTCTCCAATGGTTCAGAAAATTGTACGTGTGTGTGTATGTGTGTGTGTGTGTGTGAGAGAGAGAGAGAGTATGGGAGAAAAATTTTTAAAATGAGGCAAAATTTAAAAAATTGGTAAATCTAGGCAAATGGTATTGGGAATTCACTGTACTATTCTTTCACCTTTTTTGGAGGGAGGTATAAGAAAACATTACCCAAGTTAAGTTGAATTTTTTTTGGGGGGGGGGCACAAAATAATTGTAAAAATAAGAGAGTTTAGTGTCAAGATGGCAACACCAAAGCTCATGTGCCTTTTAGGAATCTCCAGAGCCCTATCTCTTGACCAAGCTGTTTTCAGTTTCCTTGAGGAAAACTACATGCGCTATACTGAGTTAATGATTTGTGTGTTCTGCTATGCCAGTGACGCTTTTACAGAGAGAAACAGAGGCAAGAAGGGGTGAATGAACTTCGGTAGAGGTACAACAGAAGGCTTTGCGGGGCCCCAAGATTCAATAGAGCTGAAGAATTAAGATCAGAGACACAGCCTTATCTACCTGACTTGGATGTTTTTATACAAGTCATTTACCAAGAACCCCCTCCCCAGAACACCTAGCTTTGAGTGGGGCCTAGGTTAAGAGAAAGATAACTTTGCTAGCTGGTCTCAGAACTCAGCAGAACTAATGGGTTTGGAGTATCTGAGATCTGCAGGGGTTTGCAGCAAAACCAAGGCCTCTTTGACAAGCATCTGCTCTCATGTTACAGCATAAAGATGAGCTAATGCTCTTGGATTCACTGGCTTTAACACACATCCAACAGCCAGAAGCATCTAGCCTTACAGAAAAGTTGATTGGCTTATTGAAGACCAGTCCCAGGAGCACCTGTGAGGTAGTGAGGTAGGAGGTAGTAATTGACTCAGGAGGTGGGACTCGGACACAAGGCCAAATTGAGAACAAGCTAAAACAGGGACAGGGCAAAAGCAGCTTTCCATAAGACACACCCACCAGCATGTCATATCAGTTACCATTGCCATGGCAACATCGACATTACTGCCCTGTTTCATGGCAACAACCTGATGACCCAGAAGTTACCACACCTTTTCTAGAAATTTATGCATAATCTGCCCCTTAATTTGCATATAATTAAAAGTGGGTATAAATAGAACTGCCTTTGAACTGCTACTCTGGGCACACTGTCTATGGGGTAGCCCTGCTTCATAAGGAGCAGTGCCTCTGCTGCTGTACACTGCATTGCTATCTAACACCAGCTCACCCTTGAATTATTTCTTGGGTGAAGACCCAATTTTACGGCTTACCTGGCCTGCATCAGAAGTACCTTAAGAATATAGGATGCTATCTTGCAGGATTCTATTTGTGTTCTGAACCAGTGACTGAATATAGTGCTCTTTTTTCCAAAGAAGGATATGAGGGTCTAGAACTGTGCTGTCCAATATGGTAGCCACTAGCCACATGTACCTATTTGAAAACTAAAAGTTAAAAATACAGCTCCTCACATTAGCTACACTTTTAAGTGCTCAGTAGCCACATGTGGCTAATGGTTACCATATTGGATAGTATTACAGAAATTTCTGTTGGACAGTATTGGTCTAGAATCAAAGTGGTTGATCACTTGTAAAAATTTTGCTTTCCATTCTCATGACTGCTGGTTTAGAAGCTTTAGTAATCAAAAGAGGAATGCTTACACCAAGGTAAATATATCATAGTCCCACTAGGTTGGAAGTTGACACTGCCACCTATTTGGAGCACCTTCTTCCAGTGTGCAAAATGAAAGGCTGGGGTGGGGGTGTGTGTTATTATTGGCTGATGTATTAGTCAGTAAAGACTTAATTGTGCTTTGACAAGTGCCTCCCAACTTTCAGTGGTTAACAAAGGTTTATTTTTCATTCACACTATTTGTCAATCATGAATCAATAGGTGCAGCTCTGCCCATGTACTCTTCTTTCTGGGACCCAGGACAATGGAATATAGAGCAGTGCCAAGCTCATGGCAGAACCATATGATTAAAGCTGCCTCATAAAAGTCACTCACATTCAATTGGCTAGAGCAAACCACATGGCCAGCCTGATAGCAGTGGGATGGAGATGTATAATCTTCCCAAGGAACTGTCCCATAGAAGTGTCCTTTGGGGACAGCCAAGGACTATTTTGAACAAAATACCATAGCTAGGATGATTGACCCAGACCATTAAGGGGAAATCATATTGCTGATACAAATAGGGGTGTGCACACATCTAAATTTTCAGAGAATTTACCTTATCCCCCTCCCCAACCCCCACTTGCCCACAAGCTACAGCAGGTTGTCGATTAAATTCACCATTTAGTATATAAGTTGCTGAATGGCAAGATGGGACTGTGACAGGAATAGAGTAGACATCACAGAGATATACTGGACTGGGAACAGTAACTGACAACATTTTGTGTTGTCTTCCCCTGGGGATGGGCTAATGCATTTTCGAAAACTATGTTATGTGAGGCAGGGGCAATTGGGAAAGTACACGAGTGAAAAGGATGTGGATATGGATACTGGGAAACCAACGAGTTGAGTTATAGCAGACAACTTGCCAGAAATCATTACCTAGCATTCATCCCCTCTTCCTAATTGCACTCTATTTTCTTTGGGAAGTCTCTTATACAGCATTAAGTATTGTCTTGGTGTTTGGTGCATCACTAAATTTTGGTGTCTGCCACACCACAGAAGCTAAGAAGATAGCTTCTTCCTCTAATTACCTTGGCTCCTTCCCATTTTCAACCTGGTTTTCAAGATTTTTTATACATCTGTGAGCTCCTAATGGGCTTGCTATAAATTTCACTTTTTGCTTAATTTAGTTAGAGTCCGTATCTATTGCCTGGAAACACAGTGCCCTAACTGATCCATCCACTGTGTGGTAGGCACTGTGCTAGGTGTCTTGTATACTTTGTCTCAACATTTCTCACTATCTACCAGCCTTATGGGGAAGACAGGCATGCGAAAGGCCAATTGCTGGTAAACAAGAACCACAGAACTTCTTTGTCTTGGCTACTTATTTTAAATGGGGAGTGCAAGAACCATTATTACTGTAGGAATCAGGGTTGATCCTCACCAGCCAGGTAACAGGGAGGGGAACGAAGCAGTTTGCAAGCTGCCTCAAACCTTTGCCCAGTGTTGTGAGGCAGAAAGAGAAAACCAACAACTCAATCTATCATCATAAGTAAAGCTGGAGATCTTTTCAATAAATGGTTCTCGGAAAACCGAGCATCCACATGTGAAAGTCTAAAGTTGATACCTTACATTTCACCACATACAAAAATTAACTAAAAAATGAATCAGAAAAAATGGATCAAAGCCCTAAATTTAAGAGCTAAAATTGTATCACTCTTAGAATAAAGTATAGCTGAAAAATCTTCATGACCTTAGATTAGGCAATGATTTCCTAACTATGACACTAAAAGCACAGGCAAGAAAAAAAAACAGATAAATTGGACTTTGCCAAAATTAAAAACTTTGTGCATAAACTGATACTACCAAGAATACAGTGGAGGCCAGGCATGGTGGTTCATGCCTGTAATCCTAGCACTTTGGGAGGCAGAGGCAGGCAGACTGCTTGAGCTCAGGAGTTTGAGACCAGCCAGGGCAACATGGTGAAACCCCATCTCTACAAAAAATACAAAAATTAGCCAGGCATGGTAGCACGTGCCAGTAGTCCCTGCTCCTTGGGAGGTTGAGGCAGGAAGATGGCTTGAGCCCAGGAGGTTGAGGCTACAGTGAGCTGTGATTACACCACTGTACTCCAGCTTGGACAACAGAGCAAGACCTTGTCTGAAGAAAAAAAAAAAGAGTACAAAGGCAATCCACAGAATGAAAGAAAATATTTGCACATCACATAACTGATAAGGGATTAATATTCAGAATATATATATGAAGAACTCATAACACACACACACACACACAAAACCCCAATTCAATTAAAAAATGTGCAAAGAACTTAAATAGACATTTCCCCCAAAGAAGATATACAAATGGCCGATAATGAAAAGATGCTCAATATCATTAGTCATCTGGGAAATGCAAATCAAAACCACAATGAAATACCAATGAAATAGAATGGCTATTATTAAACAAACAAAAAATAAGTGTTGTCAAGAATGTGGAGAGAAACTGGAATCCTCATGTATTGCTGGTGGAAATGTAAACCAGTGCAGCCACTGTGGAAAAGAGTTAGGCAGTTTCTCAATAAGTTGGACATAGAATTACCATATGACTTGGTAATTCCACTGCTAGATAGATACCTCAAAAAACTGAAAACATACTCAAACTTATACACCAATGTTCACGGCACTATTATTCACAATAGCCAAAAGGTAGAAGAAATTCAAGAGTTCATCAATGTACAAATAGATAAACAGATGTACATAGGATGGAACAGGTACATAGGATGGAATATTATTCTGCCATAAAAAGTAATGAAATTCTTATACATGCTACAACATGGATAAACTTTGAAAACATTATGCTAAGTGAAATAAGCTAGACAAAAAAGACCAAATAGTATACAGCAGGTCCTTGAATAACACTGTCTTTTTCAATGTCATTTTGTTATAATGGTAAGAAAAAAATTGATTCCTTGGCTGGGGCCACTGCCTGTGGGGATTGTCTCCAGGTGCTCCAGTTTACTCCTACCTCCCAAAGATGCACACATTAGGTGAATGGGCGTGTCTACATGGTCTCAGTCTGGGTGAGTGCAGGTGTGTGTGCCCTGAGATGGGATGGCATCCTGTCCAGGGTCAGTTCCTACCTTGAGCCCTGAGCTGCCAGGAGAGGCTGTGGCCACTGCAGCCCTGAACTGGAGTCACTAAGGATATCATGACCCTACTTGTTTTTATTAATCTTAAATGTATGTATAGCTGATATGGTTTGGCTCTGTCCCCACCCAAATCTCATCTTGAATTGTAGCTTCCATAATTCCCACGTTATGGGAGGGACCAGGTGGGAAGTAACTGAATCATGGGGGCAGGTCTTTTCCATGTTGTTCTCATAACAGTGAATAAGTCTCATGAGAGCTGATGGTTTTATAAAGGGGAGTTCCCCTGCACATGTTCTCTTGCCTGCCACCATGTAGGACATGACTTTGCTACTCATTTGCCTTCCGCCATGATTGTGAGGCCTCCCCAGCCATGTGGAACTGCGAGTCAATTAAAACTATTTCCTTTATAAATTACCCAGTCTCAGGTATCTTTATGAGCAGCGTGAGAACAGACTAATACAATAGCTCACATTTATTTCAATTTGCAATAGTATTACTGTTTGGGGCCTTTATTTACAAGTTTGATGATGTTTTTGTGACCAGAAATATGCCATAGGAACTTAACTGTTATTTATGTCAATTAGCCTGTGGTATAACTGGTTTCTTTATATGTTGTTTTGCTTAAAGTCGCAGTTTCCAAGAACCCGTCGATGATGTTAAGAGGACTTGCTGTATTATTCCATTTGCAGGGGATATGCAGACTAGGGAAATTCCTTGGGACAGAAAGCAGAATAGAGGTTACCAAGTTCTGAGGATAGGGGAGAACAGGGAGTTGCTTCATGGGTACAGTTTCTGTTTAGGATGAAAAAGCTCTCTTTATAGATAGTGGTGATGGTTACACACATTGTGAATGTAATGAATGGCACTTAATTGTACATTTAAACATGGTTAAAATGGTAAATTTTGTTATGCATTCTTTACCACAATAAAAAATTATGTAAAAAAAAAAATAAAGCTGGTGCGATCTTCCTTGAGAAGTTAATTCAGGTGGCTAATGCTGATCACAGTTTGGAAAAAAGGTCCCCCCCCCACCGCCAGCTTTTATATATATATACATTTTGTACAGGTTATTTTCAATTATGGTGGGAGATAAATCTAGTAAATTTAAATTAATCTTCATTTTATACAACAATCCATATCACTGACTTTTTCATTTTGAGACAGAGGCTCACTTTATCACCCAGACTGGAGTGCAGTGGTGTGAACACGGTTCGCTGCAGCGTCAACATTCCGGGTGCAAGCAATCTACCAACCTCAGCTTCCCAAGTAACTGGGACTACAGGAGTGTGCCACCAGCCTGGCTCATTTTTGCATTTTTTGTAGAGACAGAGTTTCGCCATGTTTCCCAGGCTGGTCTCAAAAGCCTGGGCTCAAGCCGTCTGCCCGCCGCAGCCTCCCAAAGTGCTGGGATTAGAGGCGTGAGCACTGCGCTTGGCCCACTTACTGATTTTGTCTTTCCCATGTATCACAAGAAAATGACTGGAAATACTGTCACCAAATTTGGAGGTTTAAGGTAGTCAAACTTAAAATATAGGCTCTGTGGCAAACATAAAATCCAGTCTACTGTGGCAGTACCAGAAGCACTTCAGAGATAAGGAGTCATTACCTAGAGATGAACCCACGGCTTGTGCCTCGGCTGATGCACAGCAGAATGCAGTAGATACAGCCAAGTTCCCCAGTTGAACTGCCTGCCAAGTCTAAAGGCAGAAACTCCGAACTGCAGGTGTGGGTGGCAACGAGGCCTTGACAGGAGCAGCTTCAGGGTTAGTGACAGCAGGGGTTTATTTAAGATTGGTTAATAATTCTCCCCAGCAGCTTTGGGTCGGAGCTGCAGCGGTAGCAAGACAAAGTATCTAGTAGGGAACAGAGCCCGCTGGGATGGGTTTGGTTTTTGGTGCTTACCACTTATATTCAGAGAATTTCTACTCCAGACTTACAGTCACCAAGAAGACATCACTGTTTTACCTCACGTCCTAGCCACAACTGGTGTAGGTTACTGTTTTAGAATGGAAGGAAGGAGAGCACATGGGGTGGAGGGAAGCTTTCTGATAAAACTAAGGGTTTGGCAATGTTTTTGTCCAAATTACCGTATTCTGAATGAATGGACTTTGTGTAATAGCTTCAGAAGTGGCTCAAAAATAGGCACATAAACATCTTACAATAGTTTCGTCAGAAATAAATTACTGATAAATTGGAGGCATTGCTTTATAATGTTTTAAAAATTATAAAATGTATGTTTGTCCATTGTGAAAAACTTGAAAAATGTGGAATATGACAAACTACCAAGTTCCTGAATGGTTTTTGCTCTAATTCCACCTTCTGAACATTAATGTTATTTTGCTTTGATTGGAGGATGAGAGGATGATGGTAGCGTCCAACAGCAGCACTGAAGCAAAAGCAAACGGGAAGCCTCAAACAGCCTTATGTGGCCCCAGTCTCTCTGCCCCCACGCACGCTCTCAAAGTGCAGTTAAAATTAGACCACTTCTCCTGGCACGTGCTGGCCAGATGCTAGCCAGGCCAGCTACATGGTACTTAGCTATGGTCATGAAGACCGTTTCCTATTGTGGACTCACAGGTCCGTCAGAACCACTGCCAAGTCTCTCTGCAGCCCAGAACACTCCACTCAGGTGAATCTTCCTGACTGGACAATCAGCCAAAATCATTTAAAGGCTGCTAGGTTTGGGGCATCACTGTACTGGGTTAGAGAACAACTTTTCCATGTATTATTAAAATGCCACTGGAGAGTAAAGCTGATTTGAGATAAGCAGCATCTATTCATAACTGGGATGCCTACAAACAGTGACAGCTCTTTTCAAAAAAGCAAAGGAGATAAAAAGCAGGCTTTTTCTTAGGGACGTACTTTATCTAAACTTCTCTCTTGACCCCCTTAGGGAACCTGAGTGCAGAAAGTTCCTGGCAAGAACACTATCATCACTGGCCTCTGCTGCCTTCTCTACGTAATGCACACCTGTTTCCTCTGCTGGAAAACTCTTTGTACTTAGCTCTGCATATGCAAATTTAACCTTACCTTCAAAGCTGGGTGTTCCCACTCCCCCACAAATGCAGGAACATGGACCTCCTCCTAATTATCAGTATTTATAATGAGACCATTTCATGTGGTCCCAGCCTCTCTACCACCAGCACTTATCTCAAATAGTCCAGTTCAAATAAGACTATGTCTCCTGGCAAAAACAGAATGCCTATCTCATCTTCTACAGATGCACACAGATGCACAATCTTCTTCAGTCATCAAATACACATTAGACACCACAGTAGAGACTAGGCTTGTTCACAAATATTCTGATTTGTTCTTTCAGGCCCTCCTGAACTGGCAATGTGACTTGCTTTGGCCAGTGAAATAATTCAGGTAGGGGGAACAGCTAGAGCAAGTGCCTGTAAGACCCTAGGGCTTGAGTGGGACAGGCATGTTCTGAGGTCAGCTATAAGACCAGAACATCTAAAGCAGACTGAAGAAGGTGAGTTCAAGAGGTCACAAGGACCACATAAGATACGGGGCTTTGCAGGCCACTATAAGGACACTGGCTTTCTCTGAGTGGCAGGGATTTGAAGAGAGGAATGACAATGATCTGAGCAGGGACAGGGAGGATGCAGGGATTCACTGAGGATGAGGGGAGGGGTAACTTTCAGTTGAACCTTCCAACTTAACCTTCACTGCTAAAGGATTTTTAAAGCTTCCCAGGTCACTCTACCTTGCTGGCAGGTTGAAAACCACTGCTTCAGAGAAGCCAGGGAACTGATAACAGAAGGGAAATCTGCAATCCTTTATTTTAAACCTCGTTTTAATCGCTTTCCTAATCAAACCTATGACAGGTGACAATCAAAGCTGCATTATTCCCTCCTCCCCCTAACTCACCCCTCTGGAAGGGAGAGTTAAAAACATAATGGGGGGATGGGGGGTGGGGAAGAGACATGACTAATTTTCCAACCAGTAATGCATTAGAGACTGCTATAAAACATAAGGATGATTTATAAGGTGCCTAATTTCATAAAAATATGATTTTCCTTTTAAAAAACACACCTTGTTTTTCACTTTAAACAACCCTCCTTTCTTGCCCTTAGTATTTATCTCCTTTTCTTCCCCTCTTCCACCTTCCCTTTTCCTCTTCCTCCCTTGCCAAACAGAAAAATGCCAACTTCATTAAATGACTTTAAGTCCAAGAAAATCACATTCTAAGATTAAAAAGTACATTTTCACATATCCAAATTTTTATACCCAAAGGATTTTTGAACAAAAGTGACATTCAGTCCAAGAAACTAAAATATCAAAGATAGTTCCAAGAGATTCAGAGAACTGACCACATGATCTTCAAAAATTGCTACTGTATTCTTCCTTATCTCAAATTATGGAGATTTGCCCTCCAGGAAGTTTCCTTCTTGGAACCCTGCTCCTCTTGGGATGAAGCTTTTACTGACACTGCGGTCCTGTCAGATGCCAAATCCATTTGGTCGTGAAGCAGGGAAACCTCTGAAGGTCAAGTTGAACCAATAACACTACTGACAGTCACTGTAGAGTTGACCCCGAACAAGGATATTTATACATGCGTATGTAATACACTTAAAACCAGATTGTCATTCAACAGTCTGGCTTATTTGATATGTTGCAAAAATCAGGACAGAGCACATGGCAAACAAATCCTTTATGAAATTCGAGGAGGCAGAATTTCATGACTTACTTTCCTAAGAGTATTTACAGAAGCCCTAAAACAGAATGTGGTCTGGGGACCTACACATTTAAAACAAAAACAAAGAAGACAACAAAAAAAAGGAAGCATCCTGATTTCAGACATAAAAGTAAATTCTAAGGAAGGATACCCAGGGAGCTTCTTTTCTGTGATCTGGGCACAAAAGCAGTTTCATTGGTCTTACCAAATGCTAAGATCTCTTTCATTTTATTAAGGATCATTGCAACAGGATATGTCTGTTAAAATACATCAGGAAAGGTGAACAGTTATAAAAGTCAAATTTATACCAAGTACATAAAGACTTATTTGCTATGCCTAATAAGTTTAAAAAGTCACTTATATGCCTCCACTGTATCCAATCACTAGAAAATTTTTTTGTTAGGACTGTTCTGGAAACTTTAAGTTAAAAAAAACCCTTTCAGCATTGTTAGTAAGCAGTTAAAAGTTCAATGGCTAAAATAATTGAGAATAGCTCTGCTCTTATGATATACAGTGGCTCTTCACAAAAATATTTTCATTAAATATTAATAGAATCAAATATACATTCAAGACTGTCACACTGAGAATTAGAAGAACAATCCCTGAATGGTTTCAGTATGCTAATGTAAGGTACACATCTAATCCCGTTGACCCAGAACAGTTACACTCTTCTAGCAAATGCTTTGCCTTTAAAATACTAGGTAATTTTTAGCTGTTACCAAGGCAGACACAAATAGTAAAATAAAATACAAAAAATATATTTAGAAAAGGTGCAGCATGGCCGTAGCCTAAGTCAGAGTTTGAGTTGACACCTAGAACAAAGTTAGAGCCCTCAGCCACCTTTAACAAAGACTGCACTTTAAAGAACAATTGTTTTCAGAGAATTACTCACTGATGTCTCTAAGTCACAGACTAAATTGGATCCACGTCAACATCCCAATAAAATATTAGAAAGGAGCTCTCTACTCACCTCAATTATGTAATTCAAAATAAATCCTTAAAATCATTTCCCCCATCTTTAGTCTCTATTATATTCCTCCCTGAACACTTAAATTCGGCATCCTTTCCTTTCCCAGTCACTGCTGGAATAACATTTCTCATACTGATGTTGACCTAATGCTAGAGCATCTGTATACATTTGTATATTATCCAGCCTCACATTTGGAAATTTGTCCAAATATGTATAGCTTTTCTTTAAACCTCTCATCCAGTTCTTAAAAGACTTAAAATATAAATAATGAGAGAAATACCAAATACTGACTTGCAATCTGATCATTCAAGAATAACAACTAATTTCAGAAACAAATTAAGCTAGATAAAACTGCCATTTTTGTAGATCAAAAATCTAAATATTGTAAATTTTGCTAGTTCAAATTGATTTCCAGAAAAACTTTTGTACAGCTATAGAGAAGTGCTTTGGTCTGGAAGACACAAGCCTGTATCTAAACTATCACAGAAACATGTTGAATGTTTAGCTAATTCACTATTTAGGCACTCTGAATCACCTTAGATAGCATATCAGAAGAAATACATATAATGCTCATGTAAACAACAGGCAGCCATCAGAGCAAAATCTTTTACCAACATCTGGTAAGTTGTTGGTTTTGTGGCAAGTAAGCAAAGTTCTATAGAGGGCATGCAAACCAATTTCCCAGGGTAATTTATCAAAAAATATAGCACTTTTCAACTAGAATAAAATTTGACTTGATGAGAAGTTTAATCTGAGCTATTAAGTGATGGGAAATTTAATTTGAACTATTAATTGATAAAAAAGGAAAAAGAGAAGGGCACTCCAATGTAAGTTTCTCAGTAATAAATTAAGAAAAAAGAAATAAAACAACTTAAAGTAGCTTCAACATTCAAAAGAAAAGCTCCAAAGCGGGGTGGAGGGGGAACCCAAACCCAAAAAAACCCATGAACAAAACTGCATGATACAATTTGATGAGTGAAGAGGTTCCACTTACATATAAATAAAATAAAACCTTATTTGCCTTACTTTACCTTACTCAGTTCTAAGATATTTTACCTTTGGTTATGAAGCTTCATTACTGTTTTATTACACATTTTACAATAAACAAAATGAGCTCTTGCGGCTCACAGAATTTCACTTTTATTAACAGTTCAACTCTAAAAATTCTCTAATTATGGAAGCCATGACTAGAATCAATTAAACCTGTTTAAGTCACTTTCAGACATGAATGAACACAGGATATAATATAGCCAATGATCAGAATTGGCAGAGGAAATAAACACCTCCTTTCTGCATCCTAGAAACACACACATTTAAGTGCCATTTTGAAGCAGGCACTATACCACAGATACCAGGTGAGGAAGTCCTTTCCCAGACCACTCCCAATTCCCAATTTCAACTCTTCAAGGGAGTAATCATCTACTAGAAGACAGACAAATGGGAATGTTCTTACCAAAGAGAAACTACTCTGGCTTCTTTATTTCTGGAATGTTTCATGACAATAACCATCAACTCAAACTTCTTGGCTTTCAGTAAACTTCCTAAAATTAGGAAGGAACAAATCTAGTTCAAATCCTATCAGATTTATTTCTCAGCTGAAAAAAACAATTCTTTTAAGGTCTTCCAACAGCTAATTTCAAATTCTCCACGTTTCTTGGAATAAAAATGCTGCTTGCAATATTAAACAATCATAAATACACACACATTATGTAATTGCCTGTTTATTTAGTGGCACCAGTTTTCCAAACTAGAAATTATTTCTACTTTTCATCTAACATACAATCTGCAACCATTCGCAGGCTGAATGCAATTTTTCAATGAACTTGAAAACAAACAGTACATTCTTAAAGTTAGAACTGAATTCACATATTTTCTTTGGACCAGGAAATAATACATAATACAAAATATACATTTATGGAATTTCTTTAAAAGTGTGGATCACATAAACTGCAAAGTGGGTGAGTTGCTACGGAGAATTTTGTTACACATTGTATTTAAGAAAAATATTTCTGCAATTATATTATTCTTAACATTTATAGAGTTTAAAAAATGAATATATAATGCAACATGCTTTTAACATGTACATGTCTCTCCACTCATAACATTTATACAAATTAAGTGATATAACTCATTTCAAGAGTGAAATCAATCACTATTGGGGCATATCACTACAAACAAGATATTTTCCTGCAGATATGCTATTTAGTCAAGGGATAACCAGGTAAGATAATGGTTTCTATGTTCCAGAAGTCCCACAAATGGGAATTAAATAAGCTGTCATTAAACATCTAATTTTGGCAACAAATGCAAAATTCTATACGTTTGTTACATTGTACTTATTATATTTTAGAAATCTCATTAACTGTGTGCATTGGTGGTGGTTGTCCGACTTGGATGTTATTTTAACATCCTGAATTAGTAAGTAAATAACCTAATTCCTTAGAATATGAAATGAATTGAACATTTAATGAATCCTAATACTAGAAAGCTCAAAATCTTAAAACCTGGAGATCTGACAGGTAAATAAATGTATTACTTGTTAATATAGTATATCTGCACTATGGAGGCCAAAAATGTTCCAGATACATTCCATTTCTGTTTTACCTCTTTTCTGTTGAATTTCTAAAGTGGCAAATCTTAGAGAAAGACATTAACCTCCAAAACTTCTGAATACTATGTTTTTTTTTCACCTTTTAATCACTTTCCCCACCCCAAATATAATATTTTTTAAAAAGTATATTTTAATGTCAGATTCTAGCCAGGTCCCCTATCTACCTCTAGAGTGAAACAATTCCTTAAAATAGACTCAAGTTATTTTCATGCCCTAGAAATATACTTTTGGGCTTTGCAGGAAAAGGGATGATGCCCTATTGTACTTTAGAATGGGCTCTTAACCAGGGGGCCCATGAACCACTACAATATTGTAAACTTTAGGGAGATATGTATGTTATATACGCATTTTCCTGGGTAAATAAGTCCCTAGGATTCATCAGTCTCAAAACGCCTGTGACCCCAAAAGGTTAAGAAGCATTGCTAAAATGATTTTGTGTCATTCACTGTACCTAATTAGGATATAACTAATTTTGTTCCGCAGCTACCCGATCTCTTACATCAATCTAACTTACTTTAGATAGTACCATACAAATGCACGTTACTAAATAGTCTTATACTGGATCAGGAGGACTATGTAAAAGAAAAAGAAAAACTCTAAACAACTTTTCTAAACATTTAGTTTAATGAGAAAACCATTAGTTGAAAACTGGGTTTTGGAGCAATGAAAAGAAATGAAGGGTTGGGTTTTCTAGTGAAGAAACATTGCATTAATTCTTCTCAGTTGTTTCTATGCTGAAGAATCAGTAACTTATTAATTTCCTTGCTGGAAAAATCAAATTATCTGAAGCAGCAAAGGTTCATTCTTGTTGGTTTATGTGACACAATAGTTCTTATAAATTTACAGCCACGTACAAGGAAGACTTTCCTATGGCTTTTAAAACAATTAAGAGTAATCCTTCCCTACCTATCCCACTGCCATTTCCCCATTCCTCCATCTCCCAAGTTTTCTCATTTTCAGCCCGGTTTAACACAGTATTAGCTGGCCTTGATGAAGTAACACACTAAGCTTTCTTGCTCAAGAAAATGGAATTGGCCTGTTTCTGTTTGAAAAAAAGAGAAAACACCAAGAGGAAAGTAGAGGAAACAAGGGCAATATTTCGTGCAGGATAAGGAAGAAAAAAAGTCCACTTTGTTGTTATATCAACTTAATCTTTTTTCTCCATCTCATAAAAATATAAGTTGTCAACTGTAATTTCAATACCATCTAAGTTTTTCTAATTAGCACTCCTACCTGCTAGTAATATAAATAGGAAAACAGTGAGAGCAGAAGCCACTATCTTAACATACAGAACAATCGAAAGGGAAAGAATCTGTGAACAAAATTAGAAAACGTTCATTTGACAATGAATTGGAACCAATGCCTCTCATCATTTCTATTGAGCATTTTGACTATCAGTAATAACAAACATTTAACTGAGACTTATTATTCTGATCAACAAAACAATACAGTATTATACATTTTGAAAATGTATTCTTAAATATTTCAAGCATATTCCAAGGAAATATACAATTTAAAACATATACAAACCAAAACACATGGCACATAATTGAAGGAAGTAAGAGCAAATTAGGCTTCTAAAATTTTGAACTCTAAAGAAGGCTTCCTAATGCCTAAAAGAAAAACTAGAAGACTAGATACTCAAAAAATGGTAATCTCACCAGCAGTTTCTGTGAGCAAAAGTATATAAAACTCTTTAAGGTCCCTTAGAAGAAAAACCTCAAATGAGAAACAATTATATACTAAGATATTTACACATCTTTTCTAATACCAAATCCTAATACAATACTGTACAAACAGCTGAGTTTGAACTAAAAGTATATACCATGAAATTCAAAATTAAAACAAAACGAAAAATGGAGAAAAAAAGCAGTACCCAATTTCATCAGTTCTTTCAGAAATCACAAGTTGAACTCCAAATGAGTTTGTCCAGTAAAGATGGGCAGTGAAATTATTTTAAAATATTAAAACACATAGTAATAATTTGGCTAAAATTTGATATTAACACTGGCAGTGTGTTACAAAAACACAGAGTTCTACTTAAGATAAATTTAGCTAGAGATATTTACATTTTTAAATGCCTTAAACTCAAACCCCACCTACATTTCCATGGCTGGATAATTTTCAGAAATCTACTACCTATTCCTCTGAGTTACTGCTGTCAGCAGGAAGAATAAAGGCCGTTGGATAAATGCAATCAAGGATACTGAATGGGCTTAAGCCTCTTCAGTCCAATTTTATTCTTATGCTAAGCAAAATTTTCTTCTGAATTACTCTTTAACTTTAGAGAGAAGAAAATAAACTGGAGAACAGTTTTCAGGTGAGTAAAGGAAGTATAAACAAGGTCTTTAGGGCAGGGGCCTGCCTTGATCAGCTAAGTACCTGGTAGATAGCAGGTGGGCAATAGATATATATATATATTTTTTGATGAGTGATCCAGTTATAATACTAACATACACTAGATTATAAATTGTCCAGATGTAAACTTGAAGCCAAGGATCTACTCATTTCTTTACAGTCCCAATGTGCTTAGCCTAGAACAGTGTTTTACCAATAATACTCGAAACATTTTGTAAAAAAACTGAGTTATTAGCTGGGTTAATATATAGTCCTATGAATGATCACTAAAAGTACTGCTGTAATTCAGATTACTTGAATTACATAACTAATTTATTACTTAATCCAAATTTCTTAATGTTGAGATTAGTATAAAAAATTAAGTGGCTAGAGCAGTTGCATTAAGTACTCTAGAAGCAAGTTAATGCACTATAAAGTAAAAATATGTTTGAGATACTTCCAAAGCTGAATTAAGTTATCACTTTGATTTTTTAAAGTATATGCTAATATTGAGAACTGCTTCTATTGTCTATAAAAGTATATTCCCAAGAAAGTGGAAATTAGGAGATTCTACCCTGTTAATGAAAGAAAGATCAGTGAAATTTTTTAATGTTAGGGTAAAACAGAGCCTGCTATACAAAATGTTATTTCCTATTCATAGCAGCAAATAAGACATTTAAATGATAAAAGTATATTTTGAGTACTATATTATCATCACATAAGAACTTTTTCCCTCCAAAGAACAGAACACATCAAACATTTTTGAGGCATTGCCCTGAGATGCTAATTAGCACAAAAAAAGGGGATGGGGGTGAAGAATTTAAGTGGTACAAGAATGAAGTGCACAATAGAGGTGCAAAAGTGCCTTTAAAAAGTATGGTTGGTTTCCCCCCACTATTACCTCCAGGAATCAGGAACACACACAGTCTGCTGTTATAATGTATACTTCCTTCCTGTATTTTTATAGTAAAAAAATTATTAGTATGGCAGTGCTGACTCATGTGGAAAAGATTTAGTCTTCTCACATCACTCAAATACGGTTCTCTCTCGTGTCCAAGCCTAATTTCAATACTAATAATTTTGACAGGAATATTTTAATTTTCTCTTGTTTAAAGACTCAAAAAAAAAAGGCTCTAAATATGCTGTTATGGTTTGAAATACAGCTTTCCATCACATACTCTACTTGTGACTTAAGTTTTGCATCTCAAAAGATTACACAGTCCAGTTCAAAGTTTTGCAATTTCTGGAACTAAAGTTGTCAGTCTACTTAAAATATTAAGGAACTGGTTTGTTATAATAGGGATTTAGCTTTCAGTACCAGTATGTCTGGTAATTAGTCTATACTAGAAGCACTGGTATTCATTAAATGCACATTTAGATGCTTGCAAAGCCATAACTTAGAACATTATCATACTTCGCACTCTACCACAGATTTAGACATTAAGTATTTATTGTAAGTATGGAATTGGTTCTGTAATTTCAACTGATATGAATTTCTAAATATAAATAGTACTTCAGTTTTTCCTCATTCATGCTGGAATAAGATATAAATTAAATACAATTAAGTTACATTTAATCACCTCACAAAATAAGAGGGATAATGAAAAGATTTTGCTGGTATTTAACTACTTAAATCTGAGACATTTCACATTACTTTCCCCACTACTCCCCTAACTTTACATTAATTTTAAGGCTATATATACAAATATGTATATTTCCAAGTTAGGGAAAAAACAAATATAACAAAATGGACTATACTGGTTTTTATACACAAAATTTTGATTTTGTATTCAATGTTGTATTTTAGTCTTACATTTCAACAGTTTTCTAGTGGGAATCTGCCTACTGAATGATTACATGGTGATAAATACAATATTCAACCTAAAGAGACAAAAATACAGAAGGGCACGGAACAGTAATCTTTTCAATGCGACAGATTTTAAAACTTACTTTCACATGCTTAATCAGAGGAATTTAAGCCTAAATTAAATTAGGTTATTTTTATATCTACAATTCCTTAAGCTTTGAAAGTTATTTGTAAAGGCCAACAGCTAAATATTATCAACATGCTATATTTCAAATCACAAATACATCTTAACCACTTGGATTCTAAAGACATGGGCCAATTAAAAATCACAGGCAAACACACACTCACAAACACACACACACACACCCCTACCATAGAGTGTTAGATTGTCAAACTTTGACAATAAATATTTTAATTAAACAGTAGGCAAATCCAAGCTGATACACATCTTAATGAAAAATAAGCAGCCTGAAAGAAACCTATTTAAAAAATAGATTAAGGTACAACCAAGAATTAAATCTTTTAGTCTTTCTAATGGAAGGAAAGTTTCATCTATGCCTTGAGTGACAGTGTTGTCCAATTAAAAGAGACTAACATCTTTCCCTATGAGAAACGTCTCATTACAACGGCACAGTGTTTTAAAAGGCCAGGGTAAAAGAGGAATTACACATACATGATTAAGTTTCTTGTTTGTTAAATCAAGCTTTATTGATAAAATGGAATTCAGAATATCTTACTAGGAACAGCAGCAGGCCCAGCCAATCATGATAGCAAAAATGTGGCAGTTTCCTACTATATGTAGGAAGCTGCTGCTTATCAATTAGTAATTAAATGTAAGGACTTGAAAAGAGGTGCAAAGAAACAAGGCATTTAGCCCCAAGATTGAGATTCTTATGAATACACTGTATTATTACCTGCAATACTCATGGAAACAACGAAGGAACATCCTGAAAGACAGTTAAATGAAGGGACTGGCTTTATCAACAATGCCAACTCCCCTACCAAGAACATTTAAGATAGTTTTCAATAACTCCTTGGATGTTCAGCTTTGTAAGATTTTGAGGTTATTTTCCATAATCATCTGCACATTTGAGCGTGTAGCTGACATGGCTGCTGCTCTCCCTGTTCCAACCCCAAGTCCAAACACAACATGACTTGAAAGGGCTATATATCTGTTGCATCACACAATAAGCCAAACATTTCTTGTAACTTTGATAGTGATTTAAAGCAGTTCATAATTAAATATGAGCATTTTGTACAAGGACAATTACACTTTACAAAAAAACAAAATCATACAACAAAAATTGCTGGAGTCTGATTTACAACACGAATTATGGTTTGAAATCACGCTTACATAAGTCTCAAATTTACAAAAAAAAAAAAAAAAATCAGTTCTGGGCTAGCTGTTGTACTGCTGAAGTTCTCTGATGTAATCATTCTCACCCATGTCATATCCCCTTCCTTAAAGTTGAGGATGGATGTTAAAAGTTTCAACAAAGTTGAGCTGTACTCTCCTTTGGAGGTGAAGGTAAACTCCATGGCTAGATGAGCAGTTTTACCACATATCATCTGTTGATGTAGAGTCCTTTGTAAAAGGAAGCAAAATAAGGAACAACGTTAAAATTTAGCGGTGCCAAAATACACCATACTTTCTGGATAATGGAGAAAGATAATGTTCTGTAAAGATGACTTTTAGAATATAAATGTTTTTTAAAGTATATAAGTATATATGTGTACATATGAAATAGCAATGTTTAATCTGTTCAAAGAATTGTTAATCCTTTGTTTTGTTTTGGAAAATATTTGAAATGCGGTTTTATGATGAGGCTGTCCAAATGTATTACTCAATCAATAAATCTACTAAAAAGAATTTTTTAATGAAATCCAATACAGTTTTAGAATACCACTTTTATAAACCTTTAATGCATCAGAAAAGATTAAGAACTCAATATGTGAGGAAGCTTCATAATGCAATACATAAAATATTTCAGAGCTGTGCCCACATGATCTTTAAGTTATCACTTTTCTATAAACATCATACAACAGAATTGCAACAGAACACTTAACTGGAGAGTATGGCATTCTAATGTCTATTTATGCAAACAATTCTCTAATATTTAAGTGAAGTATATACTTCAGGATTCCTGACAAAGGTATTTCCAACCATAAGAACTATTTAGTTGAGACAGACATTCCGAAGTTCTGCTGCAGCTGCTTACAAAACTCAGAATAAGACAATATTCTGAGTAGAGATAGTCCCAACTTCGGGAAAAAAAAAAAAAAAAAACCATGTAGTGGAGGCAAACCTTCTGAAGTTGATTGTTTGTAAAGACTTAAAAAATCTAGAATAATTCAAAAGGACTTTCTTCTTTTTTGAGAGAGGTGGCCACTCACCATGATTATGTCCTCAATCACTAGAACTGTGGTGCAGGCAGAGATCAGAGCAAGCAGAGTTCAGAGCAATCAATCAGGGGTGTGTGTAAGAGAATGGGTACAGTGAACAGCTCTGCAAAAACAGGTAGGAAGGATATGCATTTAGAGTGGAGGGGAAGGGAAAGCAGAGGGAGCTAAAATGCTACTTACAGTGTCGTCATTTTTGTAAGGATTCAGTCTATTGTAAACGGCTTCAATAACATTCCTCCTAAGTGTAAAAAAATGCAGAAAATTAATTCTTCAGAAAGCAAAACATTGCTTAGTAACTCATAGCCAGGTGTTTATTAAAATTTCTAAGATAATCTTATACTCAGATATTATTTTAGTTCTATTTCTTGCTGTCAATAGTGAGCCTCACTTTTAAGATATTTGGGCTCCTATGTTAAAGCAGAGGTGAGTCTACTCTAAAATGTGTTATAACACTCTACCAACCCAGTTAATAGAAGGCTAAAAATTACAGATTAAAAAAAAAGTCTATATAGTCTACTTCCATTTGAATTGGTTTAAATGGTTATGAGTCATCAATGGCAATGCCATTCTTAAGATATAATACTAACATAAGCTAGTTGAGTTGCATCGTAGTTTTGAAGTCTCAGATTATACTTTATATTTAAGCTTCTACTTTTCTTAATGCCCTTTTCAAAAGTTCTATTAAAACTGAAATGTCAAATAAGACATTTCCATGACAAGTCTAGGAATTAGTTTTGAGTAACACTTTATTAAAAATCTGTAGTATATTTATAAGTTATAGTCTCCCTACTTCCAAAATTGACTTGAAGCAATTTTATAGATCGTTTCATAGAAAGTCATATGGAAAAAAAAAGTTTCCAAAAAATAAAAGCTTCAAACAGGAGCTTTTACAATCACTATTTAGTGATTACAAAGAACATGGTCACACTTGCAAAACACAGTAGAGAATCGAGAAAATTAGTCAATAATATATCTTCACTGTAAGTACAAGAAGTCTTCACTTGTAGTTTTAGCACATTTACTCTATATCCAAATTCAAGCTAAAGGTATTTGCAAGTTTTATGTTTGTAAGTCAATTATATGGATATTTGAGGTAAAAATGTTTTAACCCTTGGAATTGCTTGAATTTTCCACTTTATTATGTAAAGGTGTAAGCTTAATATTTAACACAAAGTAGTCCAATTCTATGAACTAAAGTGGAAAGGGAAAAGACAAGAAATATATTCTATCTTCTTCCCTGACACCTAAAACCAACTAACCAGCAATCAACAACCAAAAATACTGGGAAAATCAGGCATAGAAACATGGTCCATATGAGGAAGGGGAATTTTCAGGGTGTTAAGTTACTCAGGGATTGACCAAATCAAATTATACTACTACTAACAACGACACTTAGAATTTTGTAAATTTTTATGTAGTGCTATGTAATTTAGTTTAAAAAGTTCTTTCAGTATATTATCTCGTTTATGCTCTATGAGGAAATCAATGCCAACCAAGCTTCCAATAAAGACAACCCTCACTGCAATTAGTTACAATGATACTGATACCTATGTCTAAACAAACTCTAGATATTCTAATACTAAAAAAAAATTGAAATCACAGGTTAAAACACAGATAACTGCATCAGTTCAGAAATTAGGCAAACAAACATTTTATCAATGAATACCTAACATTTTCATACACTGACATAAAGCATAAGAGTGTACAGAATGTAACTTACTTGCTTGCCAATTCACCCCCTGGTGGGAGGCTGGGGATGTTCTCACTCGCTAATGTGCGCATCACATGGACTAAGTCGGGGACGCCTTCCCCCTGCTTCTTTATGATTTCTGGGAATCAGAAGTACTTTTTTTGTAAGTGTTATCCAAATTTAATTGAAAAGAAAACCGAAACAAAGATAACCTAGCTTTTTAAAGATGGCATTTACCACATCTGAGATTTTTCTAATCTGGTATCATTTAAAAAAAAAAAAAATCAGGTTGACCTTTGAAGATTTATGACAAAAAATGCACAAAATGACATATAAGATTAACTTCAAATCAAAATTAAAATGTGAAAAAATATTTCATGTTAAATCAGCATATTATATAATCAAGGATATGTGTGCACAAGTGAGAATACCCTTTCTTAAGATGTCAACTAGTTTCTTCTTACATCACTCCTCTCTTTAGACTGGAAACATGTTTCCTGAACTTTGCCCTATATAATACACTGCGTGGAATTTTAAAAAATAAACAATTTCAAGATTTGAAAATAACAACCCTTAATTATAGGGGAATTTATAGATTATATACTAACTCAATTATTTTTATGTATATATTTATATTTGCAAAATGATACTTAAATAGCATGCACAGATTATGTACTTGAACATCACTGTCTCAGTTTAATTCTTCTCTAAAGTACCTTTAAACAATATACTGTATAGATATATAATACCATTTCCTTCACTGATTACTTCAACAAAGCCTTGAATAGAAAAGGTCTAAATTTCCTTATAAAATGTTTAAAAAGAGAACCATTTGATAAACCATACAACTGCATTTAAAATAATTTTAAAATATCCAGTTATTAAAAGGGCACAGCAATATGATCTGCAGTGTTGTCATGCAGATGCATACTATTATTCACATCACAAAATATAAAAAATTATGAACAAAGAACCTTACAAAGAACTCTACAACTATTCCTCTAAGTATAAAAAGTCTTCACTTGCAGTTTTAGCACACATACTCCACATGCAAATTCAAGTCAAAAGTATTTGTAAGTTATATGGTCAAGTTTTGTTCAGTTTGTTTTTCAATGTTTATGGTAAGAAATGGTATTTTATTTGTCATTAGTGGGGCAAGAAATCATCATTCTGCTTCTCAATTTGTAAATACCTTTGAAAATAACAATGTGTATAAAGATTCGTCCTTTGATCAGGCCTCAAAATTTTTAAAGACATGGCTACCCATAATATTTCTTTAAATGGTTCAAACTGTCCTTTTAGAATAAAGGCCAAATTTTTACCATCTATTATTTTTTGCCTTAAAAAAAAAAACAGTCTTAAATCTGAACAAAAAGCAAGGATCTCAGATTTGGTTTGCCAAGTTCCTTTATTGTGTAATCTTTAACATCTAGTATATTTGTTCTACATGGTTCTAATGCTGGAAATCTGCTGTACAAAAATAAAGGGATTTGATGTTTACCTAAACTGCACAATTTCACAATCTAAAACTAATACACTTAACATACAGTCTCCGCTAAGCCAATACAATTATTTGGATAGATAACTAGATACAATAGAAATAAACACTGATGATAAATTGAATCAATAGTTTCAGGTCTAAAAAACATTACCTTGAATCATCTATATTTGATGTATCTTACATCTCTTTTGTTAAAATATAAATTAGGATATTTTAACTGTGAAGAAAATTACAGGAAAACAAATTCTTGTAAAAAAATAATGTAAAGCTTTAAAAACAGTTAATATCTCCTGTTCCACGTGGGACAACGCATTTAAACTACCTGACCATTCATACTATACTAGCCTTGCTTCTGTCTGCTTTCAAAAAAGAAAAATAAATGAATTTTAAGAAATATTCCTTTAATTTCTGTTGACCTATACGTTTTACTTAGAATTGTAAAAAGACTGAACGCTTTTTCTAAAGAATATTTATATATAGAAGATCCATGTTTCACATACATATACACAAACACATTCTGCTCCTTTCCACTCCCCTCCACCAAGTTTCAGGGATTCTATCAGTCATCTCCAAATTAGCAACTTTAAAGCTAAGGTAGTCAGTAGCAAAGATTTTGAAAATATATACACAAAAGTATAATTTTAAATTGGCTTAGAAGGACCACAAAATTAATAGTAGTATAAATTATGAGCTGAATCTTTTCACACCCCCAGAGAGTCAAGTATTTAGAAGGGAACAAATAAGAGAAAAGGAGAGCTGGAAGGCCTTTGTCCTTTTCTATGGTGTGGACAGAGAAGCCAAAAATGTTCCAAGCAAATAAAATGAGGTTTAGTAGGTCACAGCAATCTAGTGAAGGCATGTATTTAAAGAAAGAAGAGAGAGAGAAAAGAAAAAGGCATTCAGGTGCCTGCTTTGGAAGCTGAAGGCAGTATTTTTCACTGAGGACACACAACTTTTACAATACAAACAGTTACATTCTATGTTTTAAAATAGCAGCAATTTTAATGTAATATTTATTCTCTAGTTGCAGTCTCATCAAATCTGAGTAAAAAATACCATATTTAATTTATGACAATCTCCAATTGAATGGTACAAGTATAATAACACTTTAACATATCAAAAATATTGAGTATCAATGTAAACTCTGTCCAGGTGGCAACTCTTGCTTGATAATAAGAAATATAAAACTTATTATTGTAACAAAATAACGTAAAGTGAATATTTCATAATTCCATCTAAAACTTAAAGTGTACACACTAAAGAGAAAAGTAGCAATTCATTTCTAAAATTGGATCCCATTTCATAGTAAAAATATTAAAATACTTATTACTTCTTTAAACCAATAAGAAAACATGTCTGCCCAAGTTAAAGTGCCAATACATTAAATATCAACTTATCCCTATACATATTATTCTTATGAATTTAAATTTTCCCATGAATCAATAGTTTGAACCAATGATTGTAGCATTCTAAATATTTTAAAATTGTACTATACCTATAAATAACTTATATTGAATGATTAATTTAAAATATAAAAATTCCAAGACCCTTGGTAACAGTAAGGAGACAAATTCGTTGAATAGTACGTCCAATGAATGCAATACTAAATAGTACAAACACATACTAGATGTATGACTATCAAGTGGCGGACAGCAATAAAAACAAAATAGTAGCTCTAGACAGTACTAAAGAACAAAACCAATCATGATTCTAGTATCAGACTGATTATGATTGGTATCAAACAGTAAAAAGGGGAAAAAAAATTAAAGTGAGTAGTAATTTCAATAATGCAGGCACAGTGGGATGTAGGTGTGGTAGGTCAATGCTTGCATGCGATTAGAGGTCTTTAACGTGCAAATTAACGACATTAGGAGCCTAAAATGCATTTTAACGCTATTTTTAAAATTTTTTTCTTGTTTTTTTTCTACCTCAGCTCACCAGCATTTTCATGTTTTAACACTATTAAAGTCATGTCAAGTTTTTCCACTTAGAGAAACTGCATAATATATACACTTTACTGCATATATGCAATAAACTGGAAGTCTCTGCAGAATTATGAGAAATATACTCCAGAAATGCTCAACTTATTTCTTAATCTTACTTGGCAGTTACTTTTCTGCCAGGTGGAGAAATATTATGTCTTTTATTGAGGTCTATCTTGTTTAGGTGAGACAGTTTATGGCTTAGGGAAGAAGCTCTGAAACAGTTTAAAGCAAATTTTTTAAAGCTGTGTATATAAAGTTGCTAATGATGAGGCTGTGATTTTCAAGTTATTGAAAAAAGGCCCTAGAGATTAAAATTAATATACACAGCTTTTCATAGAAAGATGGTATTCAAATTATCACCATCACAATCTCTTTGTAATTAAATAGACCACAAATCAGATTTTCCCGGCATAAAATTACTCATGCCAGTGAATTCATTAAGAATTTTAAAGCACACAAACATTTTAGCCTTTTAAAACAAAAGTATCCTGAACAGAATGTGGGTTACTTTCCACACTAGTTGTTATTTCTAATATAACTGTGATAGGACAACTGCATACATCTTAACAGCTACTACAGAAATGTCCTTTTCCACTTTCATACACTAGACACTAGCTGTCAAAGACACATAAAAATCTAAAAGCTAAAATGTTAAAGTTTGATTGTGTTGAAGATTTTTCTTTAATAAAGCTACTTATTTTTTGTTAAATGATCCACCTTCTACTCTGCATTCCAGGTACTTGTCCAACTCTGCCTCCTTCTTCACTGCTTCTGGCGATACTTTGGGTGCATTTGGAAAACAGATCAAAATCACACTCATGTTGTCTCGACTTCCCTGGGAAGAAAAAAATTTGAGAATATTTTAGTTTTCTTTTTGCTCTTCAAAGCCTTGAGAACCTTTACAGCTGTGCCAATTACAGTTATACTTGTTCTAGTGAAAATGTTACTTTCAGGGAGAAAAAAATACATATGTGCACGCATGCGTGCGTGTGTGTGTGCAATGACTCCCCCTCCCCCGAACAGTATAGAGAGAATACAGTATAACCAATACTCCAAAAGACAGGAGAGAAACATTACAGGTTAATCTCACTGTAATAATAATTTTTTATAATTCTATAAAACAATACTATTTCTAAACATTTACTGGTGACTTAATTTGAAGTGATACCTAATACAAATATACATGTGTACACACACTCCTTCCATACAACATGACAGAAAATTTTAGTGGCATTGTTTACAATAGGATTTGACCTGTAGTTATATGTACCTGATAAAATTACCTTTAAAATAAATTATAAATTGTGGGGCTAATACATTCGCTTCATAAGTAGAAATATGAAATAAGAGGTAAAACTACCTAAGGTTTATAAACCAGCTTTTAACTTGTATTAATTTTAAAAACTGACAACTTTTAGGAACTACATTCATTTTTAAAGACATCTAAGTATTCAAATGCTATAATTAAATATTTGAGTATCAAATATATACCCTCAGAAGAATTTTAAAAAGTCAACATTTGTTTAAAAAAACATCAAAGAATAAGTTAATAAGCATTATTGACAAAACAGAACAGAGTGTGGCAGAAAGAACACTGAACCCAAGTCAAGGGCCTTGATTTTCTAGTCTTAATGCTGTTAGCAATGTATAAAACCCTGTACACGTCATTTATAATATCTGTAGGAAAGGGTGTAGCATGTATTATATGCTAAACTAGGCATTATATATATATATATGTATATATATATATACACACACACATATATATATATATACATACGCTCATTAATTCCTCAACAGTCTTTTTTTTTTTTTTTGAGACGGAGTCTCGCTCTGTCGCCCAGGCTGGAGTGCAGTGGCGCGATCTCGGCTCACTGCAAGCTCCGCCTCCCGGGTTCACGCCATTCTCCTGCCTCAGCCTCCCGCGTAGCTGGGACTACAGGCGCCCGCCACCACACCCGGCTAATTTTTTGTGTTTTTTAGTAGAGACGGGGTTTCACTGTGTTAGCCAGGATGGTCTCGATCTCCTGACCTCGTGATCCGCCCACCTCGGCCTCCCAAAGTGCTGGGATTACAGGCGTGAGCCACCGCGCCCGGCAACAGTCTTATAAGATACTATTATCTCCATTTTAAAGCTGAGAGAGGTTGAACAATTCGTTCAGGAATGTAGAGTACAAAACTAATAGAGGTAAGCCTTGGTCTCAGGTCTGTCTGACTCTTAAGTTTGTAGAACCTTCTCTGGCTTCAGCTTCCTCATCTGTAAAATAAAGGGGCTGAGCTAGCTCACCTGTGTATATTATCCCATTTGATCCTCCTGACAACGCCATGAGACAAGATAATAATGTCTTATCCTTTTTATGATGAAAAAAACTGATTAGAGTTTAAATAGCTTACCTAAAACCATACACAGTCTCAGAGCAAGTTCTTCTGACTCCATGTACAAGGCTATTTCTATTACATCACGTCTAATGATCACTACATTCCTCTTTCAAGTGCTACAGACCATTAAACCTTAGTTTCAAAGGATTAGGATATCATAAATGTACTGAGATATCACATGGTCAAATATTAAAACTCTAAAATGCTTTTCATTTATAGACACTGAGGCCTAACCCTCCCCACCCTCTTTCTTTCAAAACATGCACTCTGATAAAATCTTTTTACCTTTGATAATCTTCCACATTATTACAAAGCTCAAGTAGTAAGACTAAACATTCAGCTTATAACTCTTGCAGAGATGGTAATTGGGTAATTTATTTCTACATAGTGGTCCTATGATATATTTTCATAATTGGTGAACAGTATCCTACAGTTGTGCCAAAAACTGGTTTCAGAATTACAGATTCTAAGATGATTAAATACTAGAGTAGTGATTAATATGGCATAAAATCATTTTATGTTTTTAAAAAAAGTCTAGCTACCTTATACAAACAGGTGTCGACTACTTCATTGCAAACTTTCTCAAGGTCATCAGTGACTTCAAGTCTGGATCTTACAAAATCACAGAGCTCTTCATTTCCCATAACATCCCAGATACCATCACATGCAAGGATAATGAACTGATCATCTTCTTCAGATCTTTCAATATCATGGACTTCAGGCTCTGGTGAGACAAGCTGCTCAGTAGGACCTTTTCCATGGACACATTTGTAATCAAAATCCCCAAGGGCCCTCGATACAGCCAGAGAGCCATTCACACGCTGAATCATTACAGAGCCACCTGCATTCTGAATTCGTTCTTTCTCCAGCGGATTACTTGGTTTGTGATCTTGTGTGAAGAAATGAACTTTCCTGTTCCTACAAAGTAAACCTCTTGAGTCTCCACAGTTAATGAAATAAGTATGTTGGGGAGAAATTAAGACACCTACAGCTGTTGACCCACTTCTATCTGCACCATGTTTCTTCTCTGACATAACTCTCATGTGTTCATCAATCTCCAGAAAACCTGTTCTGATTCCATTCTTTACATTTTCCACAGAAGGTGCTCCTGCAGACCCTTTAAAATCCTGGTTATTGGTGATGTGATCTAACAAATGCTCACAGCAGTATTTGGCAACCTGAGAACCAGCATGCCCATCATACACAGCAAAGAATGACCACGATTCAAGTCCACTTGGCAAACCGATCACAGCCGTATGTGCATCCTCCATTTCAACACGCCAGCCTTGCATGCTGCTTAGCCCATATCGCAACCCATTACCCTGCCCCTGGGCATTATGCTTTTCCATCTTTGGCTTGTCTAAAAATGCTCCCATTATGTCTTGATCCTCTAGGTCTGCAAAGGAAGAGAAACAGGAAAGTCAATAACTGTCTTATAAACAAAATATGTACCAAACAATCTTTTTAATAAGTGAAAGAGATATGCGGGAATTCACAACTCGCGATAAGCAGACATTCATTGTGTTGCTGACTTGGAATCTGGAGATTAACAAGGAGGAACTGGGGGAAAGCCTGATGAAGCACAGATCACAACAGACAAAAAGGCAGAAAAAAACTAAAGCATTGGGATAAAGGGGAGAAGGCAGAAAGGAGACCTGGCAGTGGCCATCAACTTAAACCAACCAGGCTAAATGTTTAATGATACAATGAACATGTGTAAGCTCAGGACTAAGTTGTATGTATATCAATTAAGAAAAGCCAAACGAATTCATGACATACCCAAAAAATCTACTAACTCAAATATATCTTGGTTGAACATTCAGGAATTTTCAAGCTTGATTCCAAACTCCCTAGTTTTATTCCCACTGCATGAACTCTGAAAAACTAAAAAATAATCTACTCACAATGCTCCAAATTTGCATGCTCCTTCAAGCCTTTGCTCATGTCAGTTTCCTTAACTGGAAACTCTTGCCTCATCCTATTTATAGAAAAAAGTATACCTATCCTTTTAAGTCTACCTTACATTCTACCTTTTCCATGAGGTTTTTCAGTTTTTGATAAAGTCAGTTAAGTTATTAAATTACTGTAAATGTTGTAGCCTCAAATTTCAAGTTGCAAGCAATTATATATATACATAACGAAGTGTACTGTATACATATATAACAAAATTACTACTAGTAATCTATTAATCATATAGTAATAACATGTACCATTATTATTATACTCTATGACCATTAGGTATATAAAGAAGATCAAAGGGTCTAGTGACAGCCCTGCTGACAAGCCTGAAGGCTCAGCTAATCTAATCCTTTTCCAATACTCAAAAGTTAACACCCGCTGGTCTAGAATGGGCCCACACAAGGCAAAGAGACAGCTGGTTAGAATTTACCTTGGCCCTTACTTGAACAATAGCTTAGAAATGTAGACACCTGGGTTCAAGTAATCAAGTAAGTCACAACTGAACTAAAGGCAATCCAAAAGAAGGATAGCATGATGAACAGAGATTTAATGGAGGTGAAGAGGAGTTAGGTAGTAGGGAATAATGGTGGAGAAAAGTATCTAGGTAAATCACTACGCAGCTCTGAAACTAGGGTATTGATGATGCTAATGATACTCAGCTCAGAGAGGAAACTGGGAGAAAAAGGGCAAGAAGAAAATCCTCCTAGGAAGGAAAGAAAAACATTTGTTTTCCCCTTCATTTTCCTTATAGGTCCAAACTGATACATAGGCAGAAAAGACTGGCTGATTGGCGTGATAAAACCATCTGCCTACTCCTCTGCCTCCTAGTACAGTTCAACTAACGAAAGGTAAGTAATGAAAACTAGCTATCATCCATCCCTTATGGTGATATTTATCAGATTATTTTTCTGACATCAAGTTGATACACACTGCAAAGGTGAGTATTTTGATTGGATAAAGGATAACGTAATAATGACACCTTATTAGCAGGCAATGTTTAAGAAGTATTCTAAGTCCCTCTGGTAAGTGTTTTACAAGCATTACTTCATTTAATCTCTTCAACAACTCTCTAAGGTAGATAATAATATTATCTCCAATTTATAGATGAAGAACCTTAGCCAAGATTAAAGAACTTGGCCAAGATCACTCAACTAATAAGTTTAAAGGAATCAGGGCTCTGATTCAAGTCTGCGTGACTCTAAAGCATCATTAACCCCTAAGAAAATGGGTCTCTACCATGGCTGTGCAACAGAATTATCTGTGGACTTTTTGAAAAATAAATATTTCCAAATCAGAATTTCCAGGGTAGGGTTGGAACCTAGGTATCTATGATTTTTAAATTTTCATATGTGATTCTGAGGCACAGTAAGGTTGCAAACTGCTGGAAAAGATTAGATGGAATGCCTAAGGCAGAAGATGGGGGCACATTAAGGGCCAACAAGAAATAATCAACCAAAATTGCAGTAACCAAGACCACTATCCTAGGTTACAAGACCACTATCCTAGACTAGAAACAACAAGGTGAAGTTTTACAGAGGAAAGACTCCACTACCTTGAGAAAAGGAAAGAAAAAAAGAGACGTGAGTGAAACTCAAAAAATTAAACACATTTAAGAGACAAACCAACAGAAAAGAATAGTAATGACAAACTTCCTTCCTCTACGAATTCACCAATAGCATGAAGTACTAAAGAAAATAAGTTATGAAATTAGACCAATGTGGGTTTAAATTCTGGCTCTACTACTTAGTAATAGTGTGACTACTGAACCTTTCCGAATCTCTTTCTCCATCTGTTCCTGTATAAGCATATAAGAAGGCAGCCAGGTGTGGTGGCTCACGCCTGTAATCCCAGCACTTTAGGAGGCCGAGGTGGGTGGATCATGAGGTCAGGAGTTCTAGACCAGCCTGGCCAATATGGTGAAACCCCGTCTCTACTAAAAATACAAAAATTAGCCAGGCATGGTGGCGCATGCCCGTAATCCCGGCTACTTGGGAGGCTGAGGCAGAAGAATGGCTTGAACCTGGAGGCAGAGGTTGCACTGAGCCAAGCTGAGATCACATCACTGCACTCCAGCCTGGGCGATAGAGCGAGACTCCGTCTCAAAAAAAAAAGTATATAAGAAGGCACTAACCTTACAAGATTCTTATGACGATTAAATAAAATAATGTATACAGTGCACAAAGTATAGTGTCTAGCAAATTATAAATACTCAATATAATATAGATATTATTATATAATTTTTACACCATTTTTTCTGCCAGAGGAGGCAGTCAATCACAATAATATTTCCTCCTTGCCGCCAGCTCTGATTACCATTAAATTAAACTTCTATGTGATATATTTTAAAAGACACTTTAAACACTTCATTAGTAAATAGGGGAAGGCACATTTAAAACAAATGCCATTTCTCATCCATCTGGCAATATCAAGAGTTGGTCAGAATGTGGAGAAACAGGAACTCCCCTAGAGTGCCGATAGGAGTTTAAATTGGTTCAACCACTCTGAATTGCAACTGGCAACAGCTAGTTGAAGAAGTTGAAGATACACTTAAGCAACTACTCAGCAATTCCACTTCTAATTATAGATCTCAAAACAACGTTTTAAAAATAATGAACACGGGTGATAAATCAGTTTAATCAGTATGGGTTACACACAACCCAATCAGCTGGGTTGTGTGTAAACTGCATTTGAAAAAGATAAAATAGGCCGAGCGCAGTGGCTCACGCCTGTAATCTCAGCACTTTGGGAGGCTGAGGTGGGTGGATTAATTGAGGTCAGGAGTTCGAGACCAGACTGGCCAACATGGTGAAACCCTGTCTCTATTAATACAAAAAATTAGCCGGGTGTGGTGGCTGGCGCCTGTAATCCCAACTACTCAGGAGGCTGAGGCAGGAGAATTGTTTGAACCTGGGAGGTGGAGGTTGCAGTGAGCCAAGATCATGCCATTGCACTCTAGCCCGGGCAGCAAGAGCGAAACAACGTCTCAAGAAAACAAAACAGAACAAAATAGAGTGCATCCCAGGTGATAAAAGTAAGTAAATACTGTTTCTTGAAGTTTTTGTCCCAAGTGTATATTTGTATTTACTAAGCTGAGGTGCACATAATTCTTACTGTGGTCACAACAAAAAGTCTGAAACATGCTGTCTTGAAGAAACTCTCCCATCCATCCATCCAAGGTGACATATTCAATGATCTTTTTGGAGAACCATAATAGTCAATGTTGGAAATAACCTAACTGCTCATTAGAAGGTAGGAAGGATAAATAACAGAATACAATTTATCAAAAACAGATCTAATTACATAAACAGATATTCCTAAAAAACAAAAGAAGACAATATGCTGAACAAGGCTGCAAAACAATTCTATACACATATTTGCTAAAAGTATAAAAACAAGGACAGGCAGAATACAGACAAACTTTAGAATAGTGGCTGTAAACTCCATGAGAGCAGGGACTTTTTGTTTTATTCACTGGTGTCTTCCCAGCACTTGGAGCACAGCCTAACACACAGAAGAAGTTCAATCTTTGTCGAATGACTAGTTTCTCTCTGGGAAGACAAAGAAAAGAGGATGGCTTCAGGAAAGGGTCTAACAATGGGATACAACTGTATCTGCAGGTGGTGTTTCCTGGACTTTGAAGCAGAAAGAGGGAATTTAGGAACATAATCTCTGCTTTAGTTTTTCTAAATTATCTCGGCTTTTAGCTTTCCTTTGGTTCATCTAAGGTAAGCTGAATTCCTTCAAAAGTTACCTGTACTAAGAAGTCAAAAAAAAAAAAAAAGAAACTGGGAGCCAAAGAAAAGCAAACCGCAAACCATGAAATCTTTTAAAAGCACATAGGATTATCTTAAAACTTAACTAAGATTCACTTCTATCTTAGACAGATTAGGAGCCTGGCTTTCCTCCTTATTCTTTCCTATAGCCTACATTTTTATCTCTGAACAACTACATGAGATAACAGGTAGTCACAGGCTTAATAATAACATCTAACATTTATGGAGAGATTACTACTAGCCAAGCACTGTTCTAAAGTTTTGTATATGTATTAACTTCTTTAATCTTCACACCAATCCTAAAAGATAGGTACCCTGTTTTACTCATGAAGAAACTAAGCCACGGTGAGGTTAAGTCATCTGCTGAAGGTCAATAGCAAATTGCCTTATCTCTGTGTCTCAATTCCCTTAACTAGGATGAGGGAGCAAGGTTGAGGAGGGAGGTATTATGCTTAAGACACTTCACACCTACTAATAAAGCATTCCTCAACTTCCTCATCTGTACAGTGGGCATATTAATACTTTCCTCTGAATGCTGCTGCAAGGTTTAAATGAGGCAATGCCTTGCAAGGCACCCATACAGAGCCTGGCAAAAATGAGGCAGTCAGCAAACAGGCACTGTTTAATTACTAACTCCTACATAAACAGCCACGTCTAGATTCCAGCCTCAACTAGCAGGGACCTCACTCTCACTTTTATAAAGAAGTACAGTAGTTATTTTCCAGATACACACATGAAACTACCAAATAATTCTTTGAAGATAGAATATACTTTCTAAAAACAAACCCCAGACTTTAAAAAATATATACAGTATATTATTATAGTATATAAATTAGTATATAAAAATGTAACAAACCAAGTAACCATCTAACAAAATTTTAGGTTCAGCTCCACAGCAACTGTAAAAATATAGTCAAGGGTAAATTAATAGTTTTGTGGCTGGACTTTTACATACTGAAAACAGGCAATATAAAAATCTTACCTCCTTGGGTTCTGAGCAATTTGTAGAGTCCTGGTGAAGCAGCCAACTATAAGCTACATGGATACAAGAGCTGATTATATAAATATAATACCAAAAAGTACTTACTTGCAAATACTATGTTTACACAGTCATCTTCCATAAGTGGACTAATAAAGAGTATTTTATTTAGTCCAATAATTAAATTGGCGTATATCCATAAATAGTAAATCCCAAGGGGATTCAATTTGTCCATGAAAGTTTTTAGTTAGTTTCTGAGAGAAATTTTAGTTCTCACCTAGTCATAAATCTGTTCTTGAGTACAAGCTGAGTCTCATCACAGCACTAGTATTATCAGTTGATCTGAACTTTTCAAAACAAAGTACTATGACAAAAAACAAGACTGAATTAATATTTGATATAATCAGAAAATTTCATGAACATTTTGTACCTTTTAAAAACCAAACTAATCCCTAAACTGAAAAATTCTAAGGCTGGGCCAAGAAGTCATTAATTAATGTTCAGTCTTGCCTTTTATTAAGCAAAGGTGAACTCATAGTAGAGTCTTGAACCCGGTCATTTGGTTTAATCCACTCAGAATTATAGTGAATAATTTTTAAAATGCTCTATATATTTTATTGTTAAAATCCCTATGCAACATGTTAGCCCCAAAGTAACAAGAGTTATTCAACTGACAATTTGAGCAGAAACCTTAAAAAGTTGAGTAATAAAACCCTACATATTTTTCTATTTACGTAGGGACACTTAACCTAATAGGGAACGCCCCCCAGGCTTTATAAACAAAGGACATAGATACATACAATGTGGAGAAAATTATATTCTCTTAGCAAATACCAGAGTTATTCTTACTCATATAACAAAAGAACATTGCTAAACAGGCATTCCAAGAAGGGTGGATACTGGTAACTAGAGGACCTTTGATGACCACTGAGATAATAGGTTTGGTTTTAAACATTTGGGAGAAAAATCTAGAGTAGACTTGCATTAGAGATAAGAAATCTAAAGGCTGAAGGGAAATCCAAAGAGAAAAAAATATATAGTGAGAGACTACAAGCTCCTCGGGGAAGGTGGGGAAAAGGAACGTTAACAAACAGCACAGGTCACAGTGGATAATATGGCAATATTCAAATTACTTGCAGTGGGATGTAGAGCGTAAACTCTCTACTGCTACCAAATCTTTATATTCTACATTGCTCACTAATGCTTACATATGTACGGGCTTTGTCCTCAAAGATAAGGACAAATGGTCAGCTGACTTCTGGAATGCATATTTATGGAACAATAGAGTATTAAGCAATATACTGCATACCTGGGGTTCAAAGAAGAAATGCTAACCCTTGCAGCTACATCTCTATAAAGGATAATTTAGGCTACACAAACTACACTTAATTTCCCAAGCTATGTGAAATAGTAATAAATTCTAGTTTGTAATCCAAGGCAGCCATCTCAAAGTTATCTATGGTAATGAGAAATAAGCACATTAACAAAACTGTAGCAAATCTGTAAAAAAAAAAAAAAAAAAAAGGCTAATCTTTGGAAATTTTTCTCCCATTTGGAGCTGAAATTTCCCACTGATTGTTGCTTTAAAAATGATTAGAGCCACACATGGTGGCACATGCCTGTAATCCCAGTGCTTTGGGAGACTGAGGTGGGAGGACCACTTGAGGGCAGTTCAAGACCAGCCTGGGCAAAATAGCGTGACTCTGTAAAAATGATTAGCGGGGCATAGTGGTGCATGCCTGTAGTCCTAGCTACTCAGGAGGCTGAGGAAGGAGGACTGCTTGGGCCCACGAATTTGAAGCTGCAGTGACCTATAATGGTGCCACTGCACTCCAGCCTGGGCAATAGAGTAAGACTCTGTCTCTAAAAAAATAAAAATAATAAAATATTACTCATTTATAGTTACAAATTTGATTTTGATAACTTGCATAATGAATCAGAGCCAAAATGCAGAAATGATTTGTGTAAACCTATTTTACAAATGAGAAGGTGCAGAGAAACAGAATAACTTGCCCAAGGTTACAAAGCTGGTTCATCAGTAAGGCTAAGAATAAGACTTAGGTTTCTGGACTTACACTCCAATTCTCCTACATGTGCTATCCTGTATCCTTGCAAATGAGGTAATGAAAATCTAAATGTGTAGGCTTTTTAAAGACAACATACAAGATAAGGAAGACTGTCACAGAACAAAACTAAAACTTCCCTCAGTGCCATATCTTCTTCTGCCTACAAGTCTATATATTTTCTTTTCTAAATCTCTAAAACTGCCAAAGATAAATGACCTTAAAAAAAAAAAAAAGGAAGAAGAGAAAAGAAAGAAATCTAAAATTTTTCTTTTTTGTCTGGGACTGAAAGAAAACAACAGTGAACTAATTGTAATTTCTAGCAAAGCCAATTTCAGATACTTAGGCTAAATAAAGTGTAAAAATGAACAGAGAAAAATAAGATGACTTTTTTTTTAATTCAGAAGTTGAAAAGAGGGAGACTCAGTATTCATTAGCTCAAAATTAGAAACTAACCAAGATATGAAATGACATTGAATGAATAAAACAATTGCAGACTGTCAATTAAAAAAGAGGTACTCTGAAAATAGTTTCATGGAAATGAGAAGCAATTTACTGAACTGAAAATTGCAATAGAGACAATGAATGGCAGATTGGATACTACAGAAAAAAAAGATCAATAAATGAGTGAACCATTTCAATGAATTCTTTCATAACCCTCCCCTCCTACTTTTCTGCTGTAATAGGACTCTGTCCTCTCACTGATAATAAATCCTCTACTAGACTAGCTTTGGTGCCCATGTTTCAAAGGAGTCTTAAATGACAGTTTTTTCAGGAATGTTACACTATTTTCCTTTTTCTCCTTTTTATCAACATTTCTCAGTTGGAGTGTGACTTTTAAAGCCACAAGTGTCACCCATGTTACCCATTAAAAATAACTTTTCATGTGACTTATTCCCCTCGAGCTACCCATGTGCCTCTCTTCTCTTTACAGTTAAACTTCTTAAAAAAAATGTTGATGCTCCAAAAGGCTGTCTGGCCATTTTACTAAATCAAGTTCCTCCAAGTCACTTAATCTAAGGGACATTTTTAGCCCTCCTCTAATTGACTGCTCACAGAAGCATTCAACTATAACACTCCCTCCAGAAACACTCTTCCCATTGGCCTTTCAAGATGCTACACACACACTCCCAGCTTTCTTCCTACCCCTAAGCTTTTCCGTCGTCTCCTTTGCAGGCTCATTTTCATCTCCCAAGCCATTAAACATTGGCATTCCTCAAGGGTTACATGTAGGCCCTTTTCCCATTCTATGCTGCCTCCCTGAGCACCCTCACATATCTGCAGCTTTTACCAGTGAATGGCACCATCACCCACCAAGGTGAATACAAACCAAGAACATTCACTGGGTGCGGTGTTGCATACTTGTAGTCCCAACTGCTTGGAGGCTGGGGCGGTAAGATTGCTTGAATCCAGGAGTTCAAGACCAGCCTAGGCAATATAGCAAGACCCCAACTCAGAAAAAGAAACAGAAACTAAGGATATCTTTGATACCTCTCTCTACCTCATCTCCCATCAGTCCATCATCAAATCCCATGGGTTATATGCTTCCTAAGCATTCTCAAATCTGTCCACTTTTTTCTACCAATGCCCTGGTCTCAAGTTACCATCATTCTCACTGCAGAATACTAGCGTCTTTAGTCTCTTCACGTGGATCCTGGCATCCCTCTAATTCATTCTCCAAACTGCAGCCTAAGTAAATCTTTCAAAATACAAATTTCACCATATCACTTCTGTACTAAAAGTTTCTCAATGGCTTTCCACTGCTGGGGGTAGGAGGTGGATAAATAACTGCTTAATATGGCTCACATGAAGGCCCTGGGAAGTCAAGCCCCTACGTACCTTCTCTAGCCGCATCTCACTTCATACTGTCCCTTCTCCTACATTCTCTACTCCAACCACAAGGGTTTTCTTACAGTACCTAGTACTCATCATACTTCCTTCCTCCAAATATATAAACAAATGCTACTTTCCCTACCTTAACAGCTGTTCTCTCATGTCTTAGATAATTCCTACTCATTCCTGAGATCTCAGCTCAAGCATCAATTCTTCAAAGGAGCCTCCTTTGAGTTCCCTAGGTCAACTCCCCAAGCACAGAGTATACAGTAAATCATTAATAAATATTTGCTGAATAAACTCAAAATCAGATGCAAATAACTCATTAACAAGGAGAGTGCACCCAAAAAGTAAATATGCATATAAAAAACAAGACTTTCTGAAGGAGAAACAGAGAAGCTATCATCAAAGAAATGAGAAGAAAGTGTTCCTCAGTTGAAGCCTTTTCAAAATTAACAAGCTCACTGAATTAATTGCTAAAAACCCACTCCTAGTTGTTCACAACTATAGAAATGCAAGGAAAAGAAAAAAAAATACTATAATGCAAGGTTCTAGACAAAAACATGAGCAATCATAAAAGGAAAGAGTATCAAATTGATATTAGCCATCTCAACTGCAAAACTGAATCCAAAAGATATTAGAGAATAAACCAAGTTCTAAGAGTAAAGGTTCATGAAACTAGAATAACGTATCACCAAACTGATAATGGATATGGATATAAAGAGCATCTGAGTGTACACTTAGGGTCTTCTGTGTCTTTTTTTTTTTTTTTTTTTTTTTTTGAGACAGAGTCTCACTCTGTCGCCCAGGCTGGGATGTGGCGGCATGATCTTGGCTCCCGGCTTCAAGTGATTCTGTGCCTCAGCCTCCCAAGTACCTGGGATTACAGGCATGTGCCACCACGCCCAGTTAATTTTTTGTTATTTTTAGTAGAGATGGGGATTCATCATGTTGGCTACGCTGGTCTCAAACTCCTGACCTCAAGTGATTCCCCTGCCTTGGCCTCTCAAAGTGCTGAAATTACAGGCATGAGCCACCACACCAGCCTCCTGTGTGTCTTAAAATGTCTTCCACCCTCATCCCCCCAACACTCCCCCTAGTGTACACACATTCCTGGATACAAAGTATACACTCATACCATCTTTATAAAAAACTTGTGAGAAAAAATTCCAGCCAAGCAAGTATCTACTCATTATATTTCAAAACCAAGTTCATCTCTATATGATTTTTCATTAGTTTAACTCTAATAACATGATTTAAAAAAAGAAGTAACCTGAATCTGTAAAAATAACACATCTAGAAAAACAAAATCAGGAATATAAAGTAAAAAGAACTTAGACTTGCCCAATTATCCAACAATAGGGAGACACTTCATGTCACATGACACATCAACATCAAAGCACATATGAAACATCAAAAAAAAAAAAAAATGGAAATACCTGTCACCACAAGATTAAAGTTAAAAATTATAGGTCTATCCAATATGCGATACTGGACAAGTCCTTTGGCTTAATGTCTAACTTTCCTCATCAATAAATAAGCAACCTTGATTATTTGTCAATTACCTTGTTCTGAGAAATGTATAAAATGTTACATGAGAAGACTAAAGTTCTAGGAATACCTAGGTAAATATCATTAGTAAAGTAATACTTTAAAATCATGTGGATGGAATTCCCATTAAAAAAAAAACCTCTTATTCTCAATATCAAGATTATAAGAGACACACAAAATTATTTTACTACAGCAAGACCAGCTTGTAAGAAATGAAAAGAAAAAAGCAGCTACAAACTAGGTTACAAACTGATAACCTGATAACCTGAATTTGACCTTCACGTATTTCCTCTCCCTAGAACAACATGCATTCTCGAGTCCCTAGCAATCCTTATTGACCACATCCAATTCAATTCATATACTTTTCCACCATGGCATCAGAGTTTGCATCATTCGGTAAAGAGGACAGTATCTGTGATTCTAACAAACAGCACAATCTATGAGGCTTTACTCTAATCCAATTTTTGACTAATATGTCTGCCTCACTCTAAAGTAGCAAAACAAAATGATACCTAGTAGGCTGAATAATGACTCCCAAAGATACCAGTCCTAATCCTATAAATGTTACCTTATTTGGAAAAAAAGGTCTTTGCAGATGTGATTAAGAATCTTGAGATGGAGAGAGGATCCTGGATTATCCAGAGACCTCTAAGTGAACCCACATGTCCTTAGAATAGAGAGTCAGGGGAAGATCTGACACACACAGAGAAGGTGATGTGAAGACAGAGCAGACACAGATTTGAAGACGCTGGTCTTAAAGATTCGAGTGATGTGGCTACCAGGCAAGTGATGAGGCTGACAGCCACTGGAAGGTGAAAAAAAGCAAGAAACAGATTCCTCCTTAAAGCCTCGGGAGTGAGCACATTCTTGGTGACACCGTGATTTTGTCCCCGTGAAAATGATATTGAACTTGTGGCCTCCAGAACTGTGAGAATAAATCTGTATTGTTTTAAGCCACCAAGTTCGTGATAATTTGTTATAGCAGCCATGGAAATTAGCAGAATGCCCAATAGTCAAGTTCTTCTGTTGGGAAAGAAAATCTGCCAAACTTGTAAAGATGAAAATGTGCAGTAATTTCAACAAGCATCAAGAGACAAATCAAGAAAGACAAAGTTTCTTACCTGTAACAGGTTAATAGGACAAAATCCCTATCATTTCTCTCAAAAATAATGAAATATGATAACTAAAATAATCAGTAATTTCAACAAGCATCGAGAAAAATCAAGAAAGACAAAGTTTCTTACCTGTAACAGGTTAATAGGACAAAATCCCTATCATTTCTCTCAAAAATAATGAAATATGATAACTAAAATAATTTAATATAATTCAGCCTGTTAAATTCCAAGGGGGAAAGAGGTAATGGTATCCTAGTATAATGACAGAACAGGCAAGGAGTAGCTAGTTATTTTTGGGCAAACAACAGAGAAAACTGCCACCCTTTAAGTAAAAAAGCAGAAAAAAATTTATAGAACCCATACAAAAATTCTGAAATAAAAAAGTAACTAAAAAAGTACTCAAGAACATGATGTCACAGTCTAAAAGATTTACCTTAGAAAACTAGGTGACAACTTACATATAAGAAAATTTTAAAAAACCTAATTTGTGAAACAGGGATGAAAAGAAACCAGAATATAAAAAGTATCAACAGAGCTTTTAAAAAAAGATATTTCAGAGAAAAAATATCATTGCAATATTTTAAATGTCATGAAAAGCAATAATGAGGAATGAAGACACTACAGCAAACAATCTGCAAGGGGTAAAAACGAACAGGACAAAAATCATCCAGTATGCAAGTAAGCATAAAGAAACAAAAACAAGTAGACTTGAGAAAAGATACAAACAATGCAGATCCAACAGCTCAATTAGCACATTGTAAATAAGAAAACCAAATAATGGAAGAAAAATTAAATTTCAAAGGCAGAAGAAATAAATCATAAACTAAAGACTGAACTTGGTGATTGAATGGCGTTTATCAAGTACTAGATACATTTAGTAGAAACTGACCAATACCGAAGCATAATTTGAAGATTACAAATTTTAAGAATACAATTCAGACAAAATAAACATGCCATCGGCTGGGCACGATGGCTCACGCCTATAATCCCAGCACTTTGGGAGGCCAAGGCAGGAGGATCACCTGAGGTCAGGAGTTTGAGATCAGCCTGGCCAACATGACAAAACCCCATCTCTACTAAAAATATAAAAATTAGCCGGGCATAATAACGCACGCCTGTAATCCCAGCTACTCGGGAGGTTGAGGTAGGAGAATCACTTGAACCCAGGAGGCGGAGGCTGCAGTGAGCCTAGATCGCACCATTGCACTCCAGCCTGGGTGACAGAGCAAGACTGTCTCAAATAAAAAAAATAAAATAAACATGCCAAAAAAGAAAAAGAAAAAAGAAATCAGGCTGGTCCCAGACTTCTTTGCAACATCAGATGATAGGCAACGAAGTAATGCCTATAAACGTTGAGGATAAAGAGGTTTTATTCCAAGAATACTACGACCAGCAAGGTTGTCATTTATATGTAAACGCAATAAGAAGACATGAAGAAGACATGATCAAATATGCCAGCACTAAAGTAGTGTTATCCATGTTTCATTTCTGAAAAAATAAACTATTTAAAGATAGATTCATGCAATCAAGAGACTAATCAAAACCAAGAAACTCAAAAATAAAGATGTCAGTATAAAAGTACTTTGTTGTGGTCGAAATACACTAGGCAAAAAAGATACCAAGAATTGCAATTTCAATTTCAGACAAAGTAAATCACAAGGAATAAAGCAATAAACAGAATAAGAGCCATGTTTTAAATTGGTAAAAGATGTGGTCCAAAATTTCAAGACTATATATTCTGTTCAAACACACTTAAAACATTAATTGAAAAATCAAATAATTATTGGATTATATGTTGGAAAGAAAAGCTTATAGATTTCTAACACACTCCCCCATCCTACCCCACAGACCAAAAAAAAAAAAAAGAAAATGAAATAATGAAATGACACATCTGAATTATACATTAATAGTAGATATTGATAATGTGTAAAGAAAGAAGAAAACCTCAAACGTGGAAATTGCTTAAAAAGTAAGCTCCTACACCAGTTTTTTGCATTGAGTTTACATATTTCTACAATTATAGAATATTTAGAAACAATAATGAGAAAAATCTCCTATCAAATTCTGAGATGTGACCAAACCTTATTAAGAAACCTCACCTTTAAGCCAGCAATAGTGTGTTGAAAATAGAAAAAAAAAAATTCACACTTAGTTAAAAAAACCAGTATACTAAAGAAAATCAGTATACTAAATATTCAACCTAAAAAGAAAAATGAACCACACACACATACAAAATAAAATAAAAGCTGAAGGAATATATTACGTAAAATTATAGTACATGTTATATGTGAAAAAAATAAAATAGGTAAGCCACTAAATAGTCTAACTAAAAAAATTATTTAAAATTAGAAGCCAAACAGGCTATACTCACCTCACAAATAGAATTTTATTGTTGTAAAATAAATCACTCTGTACAATTCTCTGTTAATAAATTTGAAAATATGGAGGAAAGTAACAGTTCTCGGAAAACAAATTTTTTTTTTTTCAATTAGTGCTAGAGTGAAGACCAGAAACCTGGAACAATATGAGAAAGTTATTAAAGAACTATCCCTCAAAAAACTTCAGAGCTCATGAAAAACAAAATGCAAAAAGACTAAAGAACCACTCCAGGTTAAAGGAGACCAAGGAGGTCACAACAAACTGTAATATGTGATTATGGACTGGCTTGGATGAAGGCAAAGGGTGAAGGAATGGGGAGGGGAAGATTGTTATAAAGGACATTACTGGGACAACTGATAAAATCTGACTATGGATTGTATATTAGATAATAGTATTGTATGAATGTTAAATTTCCTAAATTTGATAATTGAACTATGGTTATGTAAGAGAAAGTGATAGTCCTTGTTCTTAGGGGACACACATTTAAATATTTAAGAGTAAAGGTTCATGATGTCCATACTGAGTCTTAAATGGTTCAGCAAAACTAAAAAATAACAAAATGTGTGTGTGCATGCCAAGAGAATATGAATACATATATGCACATACACAGGGAAAAAAGTCTGTAAAACTAATGTGGAAAAATGTTAACAATTGGCCATTTAAATAAATATGGAAGTTCACTGTATTATTTTTGCAAATTTTAAATTTGGATTGTTCTCAAAATAAGCTATTAAAAATAAAAGTGCATCAGGCAAGACTATTTCAAAACAAGATCCTTCAAGCCCTAAGGAAACATGTAACTCTCAAATTACCTAAGTTATCTATAGATTACAGGAAAAAAATTTCCAATTCTTTTTACAAACCTATCATAATCCTTCTATAAAATTTGACAAAGACAGCACTAAAAAAATAAAACTATAGTCCAAACATACTTATTAATACAGATGCCAAAAAGTCAGTAAAATATATATTACAAATCACCAAATAGGGATCATTTTAGGAACGTAACAATGAGCCAACATTAGGCAGCTGACTAATGTAAGTCATCTTTTTAAAAGTTAAAAACAATCCATATGATCATCTCATCATATTCTGAAAGGGATTTGATAAAATTTATTCCTTAATATAATACTTACTTCAAGCCAAAGAGGAAATCTCAGTACTAGAACAATTCCCAGGAAAGAAAAAAGAACAAGGACACCAACTCTTATCCCTGTAACTCAGCAATGTGTAGAAATAATGGTTATTGAGATAAGCCAAGGCTAACAAAAAGAGGCATAAAATTATAAGGAGATCAACTATTTGCAGTTAATGACATGATGGCAAACTCAAAACCTGAAATGATAGGGAAAAAAATACTCAATAAGATTATTTGACTATAGAAAACCATATATGAAAATGATTAACAGTAATCACTTAGAAAGTTAAAACAGAAATAAAAGTATATCTAAATAAATAACAAGAAATAGAACCTTTTTAAGAAGAGGGCTTCAGAATAACACACACTTCTTTTTCTTGGATAGGAAGATTCAAAATTGTGAAGATGGTTATCCTCCCTTTATTTAATCTATAAATTCAATATAATCACAACTGGACCTTTTTGTTCCCAGACCTTGATTAAATCATTTCAAAATATATATGAATAAATGTGAATAGCCAAAACATTCTTAAAATCATGAGAATCTGCAATACCTGATATTTAAACTTGATTCCAAATTATAGTATTTAAGAGGCAATACTAATGCAGGAATAAATTTATCAGTGGAATAGAACTGAGAATCCAGAAAGAGCTCTCTGGGAACAGAGAGATTCAATAATGGGTGCCTGAAAGCTGATCTTTTCCACTCCTGCCCTCCAGTGGTGGGTAGCTGAATCCCTTCAACATCACACCTTAAAATAAATACCAAGAGATTAAAGATTGAAGTCTGAAGTATTAATAATAAAACAATACCAGTAGATGTATGCAAATATTTCTGTAATCTTATGGTAGGAAAGGACTTTCTAAGGATGACAAGAAAAGACTGATTCCAAAGGAATAAGAAAAAGTGACTCCAGAGAAAAGAAACTCCTACACTATAAAATAAAGCTCATTAACCTGAAAAGCAAACGTCTTTTAAGCATCTGCAATATATACACAAAAGTTAACATTACTACAATATACAAACAGCTATTTTAAAAGACAATAAAAATGAACACCTTAAAGGAAAAGAAATGGGCAATGAATGTGAACAGGCAATTAAATAAATAAAAGAATATAAATGGGTAATAAATATATGGAGCAATGACCAATCCTGCTAGCTATTAAACACAAATTTGTTTTTTATACATTACCTTCTCAAAGATTAAAAAATTATTACACCCAATATTGGCAAAGGAATAAAAAAATATACCTCTCATAAGTAGGAGAGTCAACTAGTATCTTTCTGAAGGGTATGTAGGATATACATTGATTTTAAACATTGACTTCTGCTATGATTTGAATGTCACCTCCAAAACTCATGTTGAAATTGAATTGTCATTGTGACAGTAATAACCAGTGAGTCCATAAAAAGTAACTGGGTGATGAAGGCTCTGCCCTCATGAATTGAGTAATGCCCTTATCTTAGGAGTGAGTTCCTGGTAAAATCGAGTCTGGCCCCGTCTTGCCCTTGTTTGCACTTGTGCTCTCTTGCATTCCTGCCTTCCATCTGGCAAGAAGGCCCTCACCAGACGCAGCCCCTCAATCTTAGACTTACCACCCTCAGAACCAAGAGCTATATAAACTTCTATTATTAATAAATTACCCAGTCTGTGATATTCTGTGATAGCAACACAAAATGGACTAACTTCCAACCAAATGGATTTGTATATTCACTTTTGAAATGTATCTGTTCCAAACATTTTAATGTATGTTAAATATTTATTAACTATACAAACAAAATATTAAAAAAGACCAAGCCACTGAACTCTTTAAATACAAAGCAGTTTTTGAAGCTAAAACTGTGAGCCTTCTGGGCTCAAGTAACAGAGATGGCCAAAAGTCCACATCCTGTAGGGATAGTAACAGGGACTAAAAAGGTACCCATGCATGGCTGGGATAGAACTCAGGCTCACTGCTTGAAACCAATACCTAGGGTGGAGAGGCTCTTCCAACCAATGAAAGGAGCCAGAAAAAGCTACTACTAACCATTGCATGGGGCTACGGTTTAGATGAAATTATGTGTCCAGTGAGAAGAAATATAGATCTTAGTTTGTGTCTTATTCTTGGAAAGAGAAGCCTGATCCTGATGTTACCAAGAATCAAGGGAATCAAGCCTCCAATATAAAGATGTGGTTTTAGACAGAGATGTAGGTGCATGTAAAAACACTGGATAAGAAGAGTGAAAAAGAAAACACAACAAAAACTTCCAGTCAATAGGAGACTGCAAAAGCAAACTCAAAACACACAAAGAAAACTAAACTAAGATGGACAGCCAATAAAATCAACAACTGTAATTCATTCTAGAAGAAAAAATGACAATCTGAAAATAATTTCAAATGTTAAAAGGAAGCCACAATAGTCATTAAAGGAAGAAAAATTAAAAATAGGCAGAAATCAAACCAGAATAGGTGGCTATTAGAGAGACAGCCTGAATATTTAAAAAAAATTCACTGGAACTGAGGCCACATAAACTCTAGCTGGACAAAGTCAAAGTGTGAATTAGTAAATTAGAAAATGATACTGAGGAACCACCTAGAACATAATACAGAGACTAAGAAGGAATATTGGAAAATGAATATTCAAAGATATGAAGGCTAAGGAATTTTCTAGAAACAAAGAAAGATATGAATCTTCCCATCAACAATGTATTTCAAAGAGGAGCTATGGATAAAACAACATACTTAAGCATATCATAGAAATGTGTTTAGAATATCAAGTATGGCAAAATAAAACAAATATTAACATGTCACAGTTATAATATGCAAGGCTCTGTTCTAAGTGCTTTAAAACTTAATCCTCATTACAACCCTATGACACAGATACAATTTTATATCCATTTTGAACTTGCCCAAGGTCACACAGTAAGTAGTGGTGACAGAATAAAGAAAAGAAATCTTTTAAAAAACTACCAGAAAAAAAAAATTACATACAGAAGCATAACAATTAGGCAGAGATCGAACTTCTCAGAGATCCAAGTTTGCCAAGTTTCACAAGACAATGAAATAATATACTGAGGTTGCTGATGGGAGGAAACCTATCAACCAAGAATTCCCTATCTAGCTGAAAAACAAAGTAATGCATAAAATATACTTTCACACAAAAACTAAGGACATTTACAAGCCAGCCTCTTACTAAAAGGATTACTAAAGGATGTACTTCAGCAAGAAGAAAAGTGGACTCAGAGAAGATGCAAGGAACAATAAGTAAAGAAACTGGTAAAAATACTGGCTAATTAAACAAGTTATTGAGTATAAAAAGGAAAATGAAACTCTTTTATGCTAAAAAAAAAAAAGTAGAAATTACATTGTAGGCAACTATACAGAGGATGGAGAAATATTCGGTTTAATCAAATATTAGCTCATAAAAAAAATCACCAAATACAGAAAGAAACAAACTACCTTAAGTACAACTTCCTAAGGACTTCCGATATTGGAATTAGCAAACATAAGATAGTACATCTATGGACAAAATGCCCAACAAGGTATTTTTTGAAAACTAACGAAAAATAAGAAACTATAAAAAAATTATCAGGCAGACCAAGAAAGAAATATTACTTTCAGAAATAAAAACAATTGGGTGGGAGAGGGTGAGGGTTGAAAAACTACCTATTGGGTCCAACCTTCAGTATTTGGGTGATGGGTACACTAGAAGCCCAACCTCCACCATTATACATGCTATATCCATGTAACAAGCATATGCACACCTTTGAAGCTAAAAAAATAAAATTTAAAATGTTGATATTAAAAACTCAAAGGATGAGTTAAATAGATTAGATACAAATGAAGTAAACTAGACAACTGAGTTGAAGAAATAAAATAATAAAGTTGCCATTTGGGAACTGCTCAATAAATAAGTAAATACATAAAAGTATGTTCACTTCAAAAAACCTACAAAGGCCAAGGGAAAGGGGAAGATAAAAAAGAAAATCAAATTCTCCATCAACAGTAACATAAATCGTCCATAGAAGTAGGCTCTAAGAATTTAAGATGTGCACATTAGAGTGCCCTTGAAGCCCAGGAACTTTTTTTTTTGAGACGGAGTCTCCCTCTGTCACCCAGGCTAGGAGCAGTGGTGCCATCTTGGCTTACTGCAACCTCCACCTCCCAGGTTCAAGCAATTCTCCTGCCTCGGCCTCCTGAGTAGATGGGACTACAGGCGTGCACCACCACGTTCGGCTAATTTTTAAGTTTTTTATTAGAGATAGGGTTTCGCCATGTTGGCCGGGCTGGTCTTGAACTCCTGATCTGCCCACCTAAGCCTCCCAAAGTGCTAGGATTACAGGCGTGAGCCACCGCACCCAGCCAAAACCCAGGAACTATTCATGTCAATTCCCTGCAACATGGCTAAGGTAGTAGTAAAGTTTAACATTTATTGCACTAAGAGAATCAGAAAATACCAGCACAATGATAGTGCCTTACTTTATGCAGCACAGCTTAGTCTTGTTTAACAAATACTCTTCTGTTCTCATATTTTCTATATTCATGATTTATATTTAAATCATAGCAATCTTTAAATCCCCACATGTTCAGAGGTAGAAGGGTTTTTTTGTTGTTTGTTTGTTTGAGGTAGGGTGTTGCTCTGTCACCCAGGCTATAGTGCAATGGCACGATCACAACTCAAACTATAGCGTGGAGCTCCTGGGCTCAGGTGATCCTCTCGTCTCAGCCTCCCAAGTAGCTGGGAGTATAGATGTGCCACCACGTCCAGCTAATTTTAAAAATTTTTTTGTAGAGACAAGGTATCACTGTGTTGCCCTGGCTGGTCTCAAACTCCAGGGCTTCAGCAATCCTCCCGCCTCGGCTTCCCAAAATGCTGGGATTACAGGCTTGAGCCACTATGCCTGGTTTTCTATTAGTTTGCGGTTCTAGAAAGTCCCTCCAATTTCCCTCAGCACTAAAAATATTTTCACAGACTTCTATGTTTAAATACTCCTCTAATAATGCTCAGTCCTGTAGATTAGCCAGTTAAATCAACAAATACTCATTTCTCCTATAATACAGATCATCTATAAAACAGGAAGATTTATATAGAGGAAATCTTTTGTAAAGAAAGAATCCTTGGTTATTAAAAACAAATTATATATAGACATTTTGTAAACTTGGTTTCTACTACTATAAACATTCAGATAACACATTTTATCTATTAAATAATGAATATCAATTATTCTGAAGAAAATATAACCTATCTTTATCACCTGTTCCTTAAAAAATTAAGTATAAGATATTGTAGGCAGTATTTCTGATAAGAAACTGAATACAGAATTTAAAATATATAATCATCCTAGTAGTCAAATATAGGTACCAACAGTCTAACAGTGTGTATTCCCCTCCCCCTAAATTCCAGTCTGCTTACTATAGGACTTTATTGACTTTACACCTATATGTGATTTATCACTCTTCTTGGGGCACTTTAACTGAATGCCCCTAAAATCTCAGGAACAATTCTGATCTAATCAGAAAGGCTTTGATCTATAAAATCAAGGTATGATTTTCTTTGGAAGCTGCAATTTCTCATTTAGCTCCATTTTCTGGATAAAAAGTGAACTAAACAGCCCACTGAATCTGACAGCACCCAAAATAGGATTCTTCCCCTCCTACTTGGACCTGACGGGGATGGTGCCATTTAATCCTCTGGAAGATTTATCTGAAAAATAATCCCAAGGTGATATGGGTTTCCTACTCTGTACTGGTTCCAATCCAAAGATGTTGGAACAAACCAAAGAGAACACATGATTATGGTCAGCTGTAAAATTCCTACACAAGGTTCTAGAAAGAAAATATCTTAAGGATACTAAAGCTCATCAAAAAAGGGGGCTATCCTTTGTGCTTCACTGACATATGCCTAAAATTCAAAATTCAGGACAAAATATTTTAAATATTTTACCTATGTTTTATAACATCTTTGCCTTTTATTCCTTCCCTCTAGGTTTTATTCCCTCTTAAAACAGCCTCCAAGATTTATTCTGATGCCAACAAACTCAGTATCCTTGAATTTTTAATGTCTCTTTCTAATCCTGCTCTTATCACTTTGCCCCTCCTCAGCCTGAGCAATCTCTTCTTCTGTATCTCCTTTCTTGCTTTTAATTCTTCCTCATTCTGGACTTAGTAGGGTAGTAAGAAGGTAGACTCTAGGCAAGCCAGCTGCAAAGGTAAACATATCTCAGTAAACTCATGCAAGTCTGAGTTTAAGACTTAAGTGGTATTTTCGGGAAGTTGAGAGGCTGCTGAACAATTCACAGTGAAAAGCACCACCAGAGGTAAGGGCTAATGGTACACATTCTTTTGAGTTATAATACTAGTAAGGAGTCTGGTTCTTGGTTTAAATTGGGATGCAGTCTCTCAATAACTTAATACTTTTTCCCGGTCAGACAAGAATTGTTATTTAAGTTGTAAAAGAAGGCTAACTTATTCATAGCTATCTCATGAGACATGCAAGACACATGTAAGTGAAAAATCACTAATAAAAAGTTACCTGTATTCCATTTATATAAAATACCTAAACTAGACAAATCTATAGACAGAAAATGGATTAATGGTTGATAAGGGCTGGGAGACTGGTGAATGGGGAGTGACTGCTAATGAGTACAGGGTATCTTTTGGAGGTGATGAAAATGTTCTAAAATTAAATTGTGTTAATCGTTGCATAAGTCTGAATATACTAAAGACTACTGAACTGTAAACTTTAAATGGGTGAATGTTACGCTATGTGAATTATAAAGCAATTTTAAAAGATTACTATGATTGTATGGTTTTCTGTATCAGTATTTTATATAAAAAGGTTAAAAAACGTGACTATGGATTATACATAGCAGTATAAAAAATACTCATGCTATAGTAAATTTTTTTCAAAGGTTAAAAAAGTTACCTGAAAATTTCTCAGCTGACAAATATTTCAACTTATAGCCTTAAATAAATATTTACTTCACTTTTTCAGTTAAATATTTACTTACCCTCCTCCAACAATAAACTTTACCCAAATGAATTATAATGCAACTGAACTGTTATTGAGTTCAATGTGCCCCAAATTAAGACAATACAAAATTTCAAAAAGCAAACCAAAATCAACCAATTGAACCAACTAAAGTAAGTCGGGTAAAGCTCTTCTACGCTAAAGACCATTTTTTTTACCCCAAAATTTTTAAAAAATAATTAGTCTTTGCTAAATTAAAAGTACTCAAACCATAGTTTGCACAGATAATGGCAGCAGTTTCAATCTCACAAAGTGCAAGTGAACACACCTTGCCACTTTTGATGTTCTTCATAGGTTTCCTGATTTTTTATGTAATGTATCAACATCTTCTAGTTGTGCTGTGATCTGAAGTACATAATCCATAAGTCGTTTTCTTAAATTTCTATAAAGGCATGTATTACACAATTTTTAAAAGTAAACTTTGTAAGTATATAATTGCTAGAAAAACATCTAAGCTAAATTTAGTTGGAGAGCTCTAGTGACTATAAAAATTAGATACTGACCTATTTTCACTACAATTATAGTACAAGCAAAATACTAAAAAGACATGGCATAGAACTATTTAGTTTATAAAGTTTTCTAATAATCTTTTAGCATTTACAATCTCAATTTGCCTCATCTGTTAACTAATTCAGATTTATCAGTTTTGGATAACTTGTCTTATCCAAGTTATCTATAGACAGATCTATAGACAGAAAGTGTCTTATCCAAGTTATCCAAAACTGAAGTGGATTAAATTCCTAGTTTGCTACTTATAAATCGCCGCATATTTGAGGATTTGGACTCAAACTAACCCAGAAAACAATAACTGACTTCCTGATCCAATCCATCCTTTTTTCTCTTCCTTAAAACTAATAAACAAAACACCTCACATAGAGCATCTACAAATGTTTGCTGATAACCTTGTATACTTAAGTTGAAAGAAAGGAAAAATATAACTTATTAAACATTTAAGATGGTAAAAGATTCATTTATATATAAATACATGGGGATTCTAAATATTTTACACATATGAAATGTCCCTGCTGAAAAAAATGACCAAAAGCATTTGCCTCTAACAGACTTCAGTTGATATAATCTAACATTTTTCAAAATAGAGTCACTCACTGAGTTCATGAATTGTGACATGCAATTTTTTTGTGTATGTAGGGAGATAGATGCTGAGGAAAGAGAGAAAAAAACCTTTTCAAGTGAAAGTTCTATTTAATAGCTTAAAAAATGTGTAACCACCTACCTCCTATACTTGAATAGCCACACCTCAAATCGCATGGCCCAAAATGAACTTCTCAACTACTGCCACTTCTTAGTTCCACATCTGAGGAAACAGATCTATCCTTAGTCATAAGCTCATAGAATCCTCTATTTCCCTTATCGCAGCATTTATCTGGTGAATTATCTCTCACTTTAGATTTTAAGATCCAGGAGGAAAGAGATTATGTCTTTTTTGTTCATATTTAACACATGACACTTGACGAATACATGAGACAGATGAATAACAGCCATTATACCTTGGCTTCTCCCTTGTCAACACTGATTATCTTCTATGCAGGAAAAAGTATTTTCAGAGAAGTTGGCCGGCCAACAAACTGTATCCTACCATTTTCCATCTATAGAATACATGGTTGTCTTTTATCCCTACAAAAATATCATAGTGGATTTCTAAAAAGAAAATATTGGACCCTAAAAGAAATCTACGGCTTAATCAAAACTTGATTTTCAGATTACTGTTCATCAATGACTTTAAAAAGTTTATCAACATCATTAGATACACACTCCCATTATTGAAAAATGGCACATAAGGAAGGGAACAAAAGAGAAAAAACATAGTTATGACTAAAAGCCCACACATTTTCTTTCCCTGAGCTATTTATTTATTAATCTGCTCATTCATTCAACATTCATGGATGGATGAACTTTTTCTAAAGTTTTCTCTACACAATAAGCCAAGTATAAAGTAATTCAGACACAAACGAATTTCTGGGAGCTGGGAAATCCATTGTCAATGCATTCAATGTAGTCTAGCCAAAAATATCTCTAACTTAATCTTGGAGTTTTACTACATAAAACAAGTAATACTATTTACACTTATAGAGCTACTTATTTTACTGACTGTAGCAAACCAGAAAAGATCACACTAGATGGCTGACTAGTTGAAACACCTGCTTACTGTATCAAGAAGCATTTACGCAGAAAGAGAAAATGAAGATGACAGATATGGACTAACAAAGGGTAAGCTGTGGGTTGGTCACAAAACAAAAACTGCCACTTCTAAGATTGGCCCCTTGGCAACCAAAACAGTCTTACAGGCTGTCAGAAAGGATAATACCCTACTGCTTTACAAAAAGTGAAAATTTTATTTCCTATCTACTTAACATTCTGAGGTATGATGGCATACTGCAAAGATGTTTTTCTAAAGCCTGGTAAGTTATGAGATTCTGTTTGGAAAAACAAAAACAAAAAAATATATAGCCATCCCTTATCTTTTATCATTCACATTTTCATTTCTGAATTTTGGTAATAAAGGTAAGCACACTTCATCTTTATACACACAGTACCAAATTATGATGTGATCCTACTAGTCATGATAAAGAAAAAGGTAGTACTAAGAATCCAAGACATTCAAAGTTGGTAATGAATTATATTCTTATTCTTTAAAACAGTACAATAGACAATTCTTGAATAACATATTCTTTAAAATAATTAAGCCACCTAAAGTATAACTAAAAAAAGAATGTTTACTTACATCCCTCCCTGAGGTGGTCATATTATAGATGAATACAAAACACCAGCCTAAATTTAAAGTGATTATACATGACCCATGCTTTCTCATAGTCTGCTGTATTTCCAGCTCACATTCAATTTTCTGTCATGTGTTCATCAGAAAATGAACAGGGAGACTATAAAAATTTAACAGTCATATATTGATAATCTCTTTAAATGAATGAAACAAGACCTGTTTTTAAGGAATTTATTTTCAATAAACATTGAAGTTACCATTTATAGTATAATCTCTATTGTAAACTCAGCTAGCTTGTGTTTAAGACTATCTTCTCAGACTCACTGAGAATTTCATTTGAATAAAGGATCTGTGAAATAATTTATATCAGTGGGTTGCAAAGTAGTAAACATGAATAAAATTTTAAGCCATAAGAAAAAAGTGTGTATGGCTTGTGGAACTAATTGTATTATGGCCATATCTTATGCTTTTTTAATATTAAAAAATGTAATAGCTCTTCTTGGGGAAAATTTCTAAAGGGAGCTAACATATGATAATATACTTTTCAAACTTAGTATACACTGCCACCTCAAATCCCAACTCAATCACAAGATTCACTCTCTGGATACAATGGAACAACAGTCATACCCTTCATGTACAAAGATTTTGACCCATCACAATGGCCAAGAGACTTACTTTCCGCAGTAGCAATGAAACCGCATGGATCAACAAATTATTTCTGCAAAGTCCAAGAACATGTATTAGGCTTCTGTTAATAGCTCTGAAACTCTTGGCAAATAACTGCTCTGTTTCAAATTTCCTCATCTGTTAAGATATAGGTAGTAACAGTATCTAGCTCATAGGGCTGCTATGAAGATTTAATGAGATAATAATTGAAAATCTATTGTAATAGTCCCTGGCACATAAGAGCTCAATAATGTTAGTTATCATTGTTAGTTGCTAACGTCAAGGCTAGGAAAACATAAGAGGAACACAAAGTATCAAGAGGTCTCATTAGCATTGTTCTCTAACAAATGGATCTAAGCCGGCACTGACTGACTATATGAAATTATCCATTTAAAAAGCCAATAAATTTTACTATGTATTTTCTTTTTTCTTCTTCTTTTTTTTTAGACGATGTCTTGCTCTGTTGCCAGGCTAGAATGCAGTGATGCAATCTTGGCTCACTGCAACCTGTGCCTCCCGGGTTCAAGCAATTCCCCTGCTCAGCCTCCTGGGTAGCTGGGACTACAGGCGGGTGGCCACCATGCCCGTGCCACCACGCCTGGCTAATTTTTTGTATTTTAGTAGAGACAAAGTTTCACCATGTTGGCCAGGATGGTCTCCATCTCCTGACCTTGTGATTCACCTGCCTCAGCCTCCCAAAGTGCTGGGATTACAGGCATAAGCCACCACACCTGGCTGGTATTTTCTAAACACTGAAAATAGTCTAGCATTTTGATAAGCTTGAAAGTCTAGCTTAGAGGTTTATTTGAACACAGAGTATGCATATTATTAGATACTTGTTGGGTTCAAATTAAATCAGCTGATAGTTATCTCTCTTCTTTAACACATCATCTAATTCCTGTGATTCCACAATTCCTCTCTGGTTAAAAGGACACAAAGTTCATGATAATATTTGCAAATGTAAAATACTCTGAAAAGAGATATGTGATTATAAATGTCCTGTTAACCCTCAAAGCCAAAATGTAGGAAGTTAAAATGAAGCTTGTAGGTCCAGGATCAGTCAACCTAGTCTTCTACATCAATATAAGAACACTGCCACACTTCAGATTTGTATAATCTTCACACTTAAATATCCAGGTTCAGAAAAAATAACATTCAGGAAGAGAGTCAGAAACGTCTGCTACGATAAAGCTTGTAACTACTTCTACTACCTCCTCCTACAACAATCACTTTCACTCCAGGTAGATTTTGCTTAATACTTACCAAATATCTGAATGTCTACTATCCATAAAGCACTGTGCTAGCCGCTAGCCTTTGTGTAAAGTAAAAATTTATTTTTCCCTTTAGAATTAACTGAATGCAATTATAATTTAGACACAAATATCTAAAGGTAAAACATATGATAGGCCGGGCGCGGTGGCTCACGCCTGTAATCCCAGCACTTTGGGAGGCCGAGGCGGGCGGATCACGAGGTCAGGAGATCGAGACCATCCTGGCTAACACGGTGAAACCCCGTCTCTACTAAAAATACAAAAAATTAGCCGGGCGTGGTAGCGGGCGCCTGTAGTCCCAGCTACTCGGGAGGCTGAGGCAGGAGAATGGCGTGAACCCGGGAGGCGGAGCTTGCAGTGAGCCGAGATCGCGCCACTGCACTCCAGCCTGGGCGACAGAGCGAGACTCTGTCTCAAAAACAAAACAAAACAAAAAAAAAAAAAACATATGATAGAAATAATACACAGACATTGCTTTAAGTACAGAGAAAGGAGAGATTAAACACTCTGGGGGTCAGAGATGACTTTGTGGAAGAAGAAATATTAGAAATGAGCTTTGCTAAAAGAGAAAACCAAAGCTGGAGAAGGAAAGACACAAATTCCAGACTGCACACTAGCATGAGCAAAGATCCATGGAGAGAAAAGAGCGTGTTCCAGAGATAGCAAGTGTACTAGTTTGGTTATAACAGACTAATGTCTTGAGGTCCAATCATGGAAAGTGTCAAAAGCCAAACCAAGAATTCTGAACTTTATTCCAGAGGTAAATGGGAGTCACTGAAGTATACTGAGAGAAATGATATAATGAAAAACCATAGTTTAGAAAGAATTTTGATGGTTTATAGAATCAGGGAGGAGATGCAGTACAAGATGCTAGCAGGAAAGAGACCAGTTGGAATGCTAATATCTTGGTTTGGGTCTGCAGTAGTAAGACCCACACTATTCCAAGACAATTTTTCAGACTTAACCTAGAACTCACATATAAAGCCTTAACGCCTTTTATAAAGACTCCATTTTTAAAAAATGGTAATAACTGAGTTAATCAGAATGATTTAGTTTCCTTACTCTTTTGCATCCTTTCCTGTAGCAATGATATCTTCCTGCTCATTTCTAACCATAAACTGTAACTCCTCTTCAAAATACCAACCCTTGTCCTTCCTTACTGACTGATCATTCTAGCCTGAACATTCACCTTTGCTTTATTACTGTTACTCTTTATCCGCAATTTAACCATCTACTCCCACCTAATCATTAACTCCAAACCCTTGACATCTTGCCAGCTTTGCAGAGCCAAATAAAGCTACTCATACTCAACTTTCTCTTTCTTCTATAACTTTTAGTCTATTCAAATGCAAGCTCTCTAAACTCACAGAGTTTACAATGTCTTCTAAATTCTCTACTCAATCTCTAGTTTGGCTTCCAGGCACACTGCAAAAGCTATACTGAAAGACAACCCTCTCATACTAAGCAAGTCTCTATACCCCTAAGTATCTCAAGATTTCATATACTCAATAATAACAGCTACCATTTATTTGGCACTTTCTTCATGGTAGAAAAGATCTCAAATGCTTTATATAATTATTTCATTAAATCTTCAAGATAACCTTACGACAAAAGTATTTCCACTTGACATAAAAAAAAACAGGTTTAAGAAATCAAGTAGCTTACCCAGGAACACCTGGCTACGAAATAGGAGAACAGGGACTCAAACTGTCCTTTCTTTCAAAGGTTAGTTTTATCACCATGTCCACCACGGGGCCCTTCAATGTGGCTCTACTGATTACATCTGTTCAGAAACATTTCCCTAGATCCTTCATTAAGGATATCAACCACTTGAGAATTAACATGGATTCCATTCCTTAACCTAAACAATGGTACTTGAAGACATAAAATGTTTAGCTTTGTTAACTTCTGAAACTTTGGGAATGAGAAAATGAACTTAATTTCTTAAATCTTTTCTGAATGTTTTAGAAGAAAACATTAGTCTTGCATTGGAAGACTTTACATAAACTAACATGGACTTGCTTAACTCTAGGAATCTATGAATCGTAAGTGTTAATGTTTAGCTTTTGAAATTTTGGTTCCTGGTAATAAGGAGGTTCATCTAATTGGGAAAAATCCACTCAGTAATATCTTGAAAAATACTTTTATATCTACCCAGATCTGATCCTGGCACGTTATTTAGGTTCTCTGACCCTGTATTTCCTTATTTATAAAATGAAGATAACATCACATATTTTAGAGGGTTATGGCAAAAAATTAAAGCCTAACACAAATAAATGGCCAAGAAAGTACGGCTTTCATGACGTTCTTCTGTATCTAGAAGTAGTTTAGTCTCAAAAGATCTTAATTCTAAATCGTATCAGCCACAGAAACTAATCACTTTTAATCCAGATCTTAAATATGGATACTACATACACTTGGTCAATGGATTCCAAATAAACATATTAAGAATTATAAAAACTCAAGATCCCCCCTTTATCACATATTTACTCAAGGAAGCTTAAAACATCTCTAATATTATAAAAACTGTATAAGAGTCTAGTTTACTGATACACATTAAAAGCCTGTACCTTTCCTCAGTTCCTTACAAAAATTATAAAGTCTATTACATTTTAGATACAGGTATACAGAAACTTGCCTCTCTCAATTGCTTACTTTCTCTAGCTCTGACCTGCCTCAGCAAAAGAAAAGCCTGGTAACGAGATTATCTAGGTAGTACATGGATAGCCAGGACATTCAAAGGTCAAAATCATCAAAGAATATATTCTGGAGACTCAGAATGAAGTATAAAATTGTTACGTAATATGGAGAACATAAGACATTTGAAAGAGTGAAGGGTAAAGAATATAATCAATCTTTTGATTTTGATATAGGTTAACCCAAGTTTATTTCATATACAAATGGCTAATAATCCCAGGTCAGTTAATTTATATATCTTGGCTAATAGCAAAATAACAAACACAACTTAATTTTAAAATTTGTTATTTGAGATGGAAGACAGGACATATTGTGACATAAAATTACTTAGAGGAAGACACAACTTTTACCCAGTTGCCTCACTATACCTTCTCCTCTTCTCCAAGGTTTATATATTTCACAGGGCCATGTGTTGTTTTATCTTCTTGCTTAACTCTTATAAAACCCTGCCGTGGCCAATTTTCTTACATGGCCATCTCTTTCTCCTGATTTGATTAAGGATGGAAAGTATTCAAGAGTATACTGACTCAGAGTCAGGTGCCCAGGCAAGAGTTAGATAATCATTTGAGAGGATCATCAAAATATCACCTTGTTATATTATTTCTACATGAGCATAGATTTACATCTTAAAAAATTAATCCAGCTCTCATGGGTGAGTATTTCAGAGATAACAAGTTCCTTGTGGACATATGCCACTTCTTGGTTAAAAATTACAAATATGCACGCACAGTTAAACCAAAATCAGCTGTACATTCTATTAGCTATTAGAGTAAACAAATGGCCTAGATGTAATCTGAACAAACTAAAAGACTATAGGTATTTAGTGACTGCTCAGCAATATTTACCACATGACAAAATGATGTTGCTATAGATTTCTTTCAAAAACAAATGAGGTATTAGAGAATTTTCAAAGGTTTAACAAGACCCAGCTTGAAGTGACAGAAAAAACCTTCATAATGTGTTTTTATAATGTCCTTCACATCAGACTACCAAGGGTCCTGTGCTTGTTCAAACCTGTAGTCTCAACCACCCTTTGTCTCCCATGAAATCTCCATCCTCCTTCCTCTCAAGAGTTTCCCTACACATCCCAATCCCAAAAGAAAAATCAATAGCTTACAAGAACACAAGAACAGCTTTTCTAAAGAACCATCACCAACTTAGAATTTGTTAAATAAAACAGAACCGAGAAAGAAATCCAGCCTTAGAACACTGAAACATCTAAGTGCCTGACACATAACAGGCATTTATTTGGCAACGGTATGTTGACTAGACACACAATATTGATAAAAAAAAATTTTTAAATGTAGTAACTGGACAGTACATGTGATAATATAATCTGCCCAACTGGCTTTACTGATTTGGAAGCTGAAACTCAAAAGGTTAAAGGACTTGTCCATGGACACAGATATTTTGGAGCACAGCCATGACTAAACAATCCTTGTCTCCTACTGCACTGTTCCCTTCAACAGGTCATATACCTCAGCCCCTCATGTAAAAAGATACAATATGTACACAAAATACATAAAAAGATACAAGCCAAATAAAAAGCAATTTGATGACTATTATTTCTCAAATATAATTGAGGTAGTTAACTTCAAACATTATCAGTCTTAATACACCTTTCCCATAATATAATTACTTCACCGATCTAAAAATGTTTTATGATATCAAATTAAAATGTCTTAGGCAACTGCCATGTGCAGGAAGTTCATTATAGTTTCAATAATGTGGTACTGCTGTAAACTTCCAGGTTAAAAGTAATCATCCTTACATGACTGAAAGTTTAATCAGATACATATAAGTTACACATAACAAGAACAAAACTATAACACTAGGAAATGTTACTTTGTGCTTCAAATTATTTATTGGTAAAGAAAGCATTAAGTCAGTAAAAGCAGCATCTAAGAATAGAGAATCTCCTTATTTTCAATTTTCTCATTTGTAAAATAAGGAGTTACAGAAATACAATCTTTGGAAAAGGCCCAATATGTAGCAAGATAAAAGTATAAAAGTAAAGTGTTTCAAAGAGAGTTGGGGACCAAGCTATGCTAAATTCCCAAGTGCTCTGGAACCCTAAGTCTCAGCAGAGTAGTGTTTCAACAAATCCCTCCACTTTTCGGAGCGCAACACATGTAAAGTGGTTGTGTTTAAAACCCCAACGTGCAAGTTTGAAAAGACTGTTTTACAAAACAATTGTTAAAATGTCTAATTTCTCTCAATAATGTCAAAATCATTTCCTTTGAGAAAATGATACCTATCTCTCATACTCTTCCAACCACTTCTTAAAACACATTCAGCTCATTATTCCAATGAGCAGGAAACTTGCGGGGAGGTGGGGCTAGCACACAGATCCCATGGCTTGGACAACTGAAGCATGACTTTTGTGGATTTGTACCATGTGGTGTTTCAGGAGAGAAGAAAAATACCTCAGGTGATGAAATTTTCAAAACGTATCTAAAACTGCAGTTGGTAGAAGGCTCTCCACAGCCAGCTGTCTTTCAAGAAAAGGCTCCAAGTTTATTTAAAATCTACAAGCAGAACAGAACCATACCTCAACCAAGCTCTAACATCAAGAAGTTTTACCCGATTTACGTAGTTAAAAGGATAAGAAATCGGAATTTACTTCAATGGATTTGTTCGATGCCTTAATAATGAATGAACTAGAGGCATCACTCACTGACTTGAGTTCTGAAGGAGTCTCTCAGCCCTGCCCCCTGTAAAACCTTAAGCAATTTCTACAGAATTAGGTTTTTCGAGGCTAAGCCCGGTTCAAAGGAAGTCTCCCCGCCTCCCTCCCAGGGGCTGAAGCCCAGGACAGCCGGGGCGGCGCGCCCGAGCGGGTGGGGGCGCGGGGACGCCCCCTCCCCGCTCGGGAAAAGTTCTGCAGGCCGCTCTCCGGCCAGGCCGGCCTGCGGCCGTCGCCTGCTTCGCCGCCACAAACACCCATCTCGGCCGCGGACGGCCAGAGGGTCGCGCCCCCTCCCCGCGCCACCGCAACTAACACCCCGCCCCCGCCTCCCCGCCACCGCCCTCGCCGAGCGTTAACCCCTCGCCGTCCGCCGCCCGGCTCGGGGGAGGAGGCCGGCCAGGGGGTGGAGTTGTCGCGTCTCCTCCCGGGAGCGCCCGGGCAGACGCCCGGCTTGTTTACAGGCCCCAGGCCTGCCCGCCGCCGCCGCCGCGCAGGCCCGCACCGCCCGCCAGCCCGCCGTCGGCCCGAGCGCCGCACTTACCCGGAGCAGCCGCAGGCGGGCAGGTCCCTGGTCGGCCGAGGCGGCGGCGGCGGCAGCCGGGGAGGGGGTCACCGCGGCGGCGACGGCGGCAGCCGGGGGAGGGGTCACCGCTGCAGCGGCGGGCCAGGTCAGGCTGGGGAAGGGGCGGAGGAGGGGAGGAGCCGGGCTGCGTCCGGGCCCCCGGCTGTCGGCGCCCTCGCGGCTCAGATCATCCGGGCGTTGGAGAGGGAGGCAGAGAGCGGGTCCCGGAGAAGGAGGAGGAAGAGCCGAGGACTCATCGCTTTCGCGCCTCAGCTGTCTAGAGTCCCCCCACCCCCCCCTCCCCAACCACCCGTTCCGGAGCAACAGCCGCCTGAGGACCCGAAGCTGCGGGCCGGACGAGCGCCGAGACCACTGCTCTCTAGCTCCCGCGCGCGCTCCCGTCCCTAGCGCCGCCACCGCCGCCGCCGCCGCCTCTAGCGCGGCCCCGCGCAGGCGCGCTCACGACCGCGTCGCCCCTCCCCCACCCCTCCGCTCGCCCCGCCCCGCTGGCTCCGCCGCCGCTACAGCTGCGGCGCGGCGCGCAGCTACAGAGACCCGGATGTCGTTGGGCAGGAACTGCGGTGAGGGCTGGCGGGCGGGGGAGGGGCCGCCACAGATGACGTCACTGCCTTACCCAGCTTCTTTCTCTGCCGCTGCTGCTGCCGCCGCCTTTGCCTTACGGCCTGGAGCACCAGGCCGAAGCCGAAGGGAGCGTCCGGATCCCGGATAGCAGCCAGGACCCGGGCCTTCACGTTCCGGCGCCAGGGACTGGACAGAATGTGCGGCTATTAGGTGCCCAGTAGATCGACAGCCCCTCCGTGCCGGCCCTTGGCCAAGTAGGGACTCGGAAGCTACCCCTACGGCGTCCGCGCCCGGAGCCCTGGCTCTTCTACCTGCCTGCAGATACAAACCCCACTCCCTGCGAAGATGGTGTACACGCAGCCCCGAGCACAGACCCGAAGCTGTCCACCCTTCTTGGGCGCCGTCGCGGTCTGGCCGCTGCCCTTCGAACCCATGGTGGGTCCCAGGCAGCTGCCAGACCCCCCTACCCCAGAGTCCCACTCCTCCAGAGCCTTCCTCTCCCAGTGACCCCAGGAAGCCCAAGCAGGTGCCACGGCCACACACCTCGCGACCCAAAGGGCAGAGACACAAGCACGCTACCACCGCCCACCAATGTGCGAGTGCAACTGATTCACGCACGGGGCACATGCTCTGAGTTTCTGGCAGGTTTTCCCTCTATAGTTCAGGGGATTCCACATTGTATTTATTTGCACATGTTAGATAATCACGTGGTTCTGTCCCAGGGGACCTCCAACGACCTCCAATGAGGTAGGTTAAGGGAACAGGATTTTTCAAAATCAGGAGAATAATCAGAAACATAACAGCTGCTTCTATTAAGAGGTAGAGATGAGCTAAAGTTAATAGAAACTGCACGTGCCAGCGGCCAAAATCCAGTTTAGCTAGCTGGAAAACCCGACCCACGCTGCTTGCAGACGCCGGGGATAGAATGACAAACCCTAGGCAGCCAATGAATCGCAGCCTAGGAGCAGTACATCACCAGCACGGGTTCCCATTGGCTGGGGTGCCCTTCCCTCTCTTGTCAGCGGCTTAACCAGTTCACGAATTTGACCTACACCACATTCGCAGGAAAAGAAGTTAGAAGAAAAGTCCGTATTTTTAAAAGATGTTCTGATGCACACACAAACCAAAGACTTCATTGTAGAAGGCAGGTTCTTTTACTGGCCAAATTGAGTTCTGGCCAGTAAAAAAGGTAAATTTATGTTGAAGGCCTCTCTATTTTACTTGAGGAGCTCACTATAGCAATTTGCACCCTACTACTTTCTATCTCCTAAACCATTTTGTTGCCCCAACTCTTAGATCAAAAGCAACCTATTTATTCTTTCTGGCATTCAGCAAATATTTAGCTGCTGCTTTTAAAGTTGTAAAAAGCCATCTCTAATTTTCTCAACATGACTTTGGGGAAGGTTCTGTTTCCTTCACTTTTTTTTTTTTTTTTTTTTTTTTTTTTGAGACAGAGTCTCGCTCTTTCATCCAGGCTAGTACAGTGGCACAATCTCGGCTCACTGCAAGCTCCGCCTCCCGGGTTCATGCCATTCTCCTGCCTCAGCCTCCCGAGTAGCTGGGACTACAGGCGCCTGCCACCACGCCTGGCTAATTTTTTTGTATTTTTAGTTCAGACAGGGTTTCACCGTGTTGGCCAGGATGGTCTCGGTTTCCTGACCTCGTGATCCACCCTCCTCGGCCTCCCAAAGTGCTGGGATTACAGTCGTGAGCCACTGTTCCCGGCCAGAATTCCTTAGAAGATGATCGTGGATCATTTCCACATATACAAAATAAAAATAAAATTCACTATGCATTTGGTCTCAGTATCATCTGAGGATACATTTCCTAATTCTCCACATATCTCCCCGACCCCCCAAAAAAAGAAATTAGATCAGAGATCTTTGAAACGCTACCTTCTTGGAATCCTTAATACTCCAGGCAAGTAACAGCATGAGTAGCATGCTGGTGGACTCATTAACATTCTGAACTACAAAAGCTCATATGGCAACCATTTAGAGTGCTCTTAAAAGACAAATTTTCTTATTTATAAGCAGAAGCTGGGTCACTAGTGACGGTAGTGGACCATAGAAAACTTGAAATGCCTGCCTATCTTTCTGCTTCCTTCCTTTAGGCTTCCACACCTTTCTTCTCTCTGTTCTGCACTTGGAGAATCTGGGTCAATTGTAGAAGAAGAGGGAGAGAAATAGAAAATATGAACAGAAAGAAATTTTTAAGGAGTCTACGCATTGTACAGACTGCCGATAAAGCAGCACCTTCCTACTATTTATTTCTGAATACAGCTTGCAGGGACATTTTGGTATGAACTAGGAAACTCATGGGTTATAAGATTAATATTTTAAAAAGATATCAATATTGTCTGATTAAATATGTTTAATATCATCATATCCCCTTTTATTAAACCTTATGCTAAGAAGGGGGGACAGATAGAAGGGGAAAATAACATTGAAAAAAGAGGATTGAAAGTTCTCTTCTGAACTGTAAGACTTTGCCGGGCCTCTACACATATTTGGGATGTTCACAGTAAGATTTTAGTGGGAATATATTGCCATGATGATGACATTTTAGTAATTTTTATAGGTATATTATAAAACTATCCTGCTCTGCTTTGGAAATCTGTTTATATTTCAATTAACAAAGAAAAAGATTATCTACAAGATTGGCTTTAAAGTCCTGAATTTAGTGTGTGTTGATAGCCTAGTAATTGGGAGGCTTGGGGTGAGGACAGGGGCTGTAGTGTGGAGTCTAAAGCTTAATCTGATCAGCAATACTCTCTTTCCCTTTCCACCACAATTGTGACTTAAAAAAAGGTTTACATTCCTGCTCCCAAATTACTCTCCAGGAGAGTCACCCTTGAGGCAGACTTGCCTGGGCCTCTCAAAATATATGCAGTAATGTAAATGACCCCCTCAGGAGGCTAGTATTTGAGAATACCCCTCACCATCCTTTTCCACTGAAGCCAGTCACTACTCAAGAGTTAGAAAGCCAACCAGAACATAGGTTCAACAATTCCTTCCTCCCTCACTACCTGTTTCATATTTTTTTCTCTCACACATCCTCTTCATTTGGTTTCCTCTTTTCTCATTTCTCCTTCTCTCTCCTCCCTTTTTCTTCTCTTCTCTTTTTGCCTTCTTTGCCCTTCTCTTCCCCATTCTTCTTTTCTCTCTTTTCATTAGCTTAGTACAAATTGTAGCTTCTGCTACCCATTTTCTCCCAGAACAGAACATGCGAGCAGACAGTGCCCCTAAATGAATTTCATTCAGGGAGAGGGTGTGCCCCCTACCCTGGCCCTCCTTCCTCCCTCCCCTACATCATAATACATTATGAGAAACTTAGCTGCTTAGAGGACTGTTACAGAATCAAAAGGATTAGAGAATCCTGTCCTGTGTGACATCACTGGGCAGCCCCATTAGGGAGGGGCAGAGGGGAGCAGCCAGCAGTCTTATGCTACCACTGTGGCTCATCCTGCGACCTGAGAGAAACCTGGGCAACTGTGAGCACCAGAGGCCAAGTCCTGGACAGTCTTTAGGGTAGGCTTTCACCTCAAGATAGCCATATATGGCCACAGCCTTACAATACTAGAGTGGATCTTGTCAGATAAGTTCATCTGTTCATGAGATAGCTATTGTGCACCAAGCACTGTGTGGGACACTGGAGGTAGATAATGACATCAATGGGCAAGCCCTGCCCACAAAGAGCCAACATAATAATAAGAGGCATAGACAAATAAGTCAGCAGATAGAAAGGAAATTGCATACTGTTATCCATGCTGTGAAGAAAATAAATAAGGAAACAGATCCGGGAGACGACTTGAAACAGGTGTTCAGTGCAGACCTCTCTAAGAAGGCAGCATTTGATCTAAAGGATGAGAAGGAGTCAGCTTCATAATCAGGGGAGAACTTTCCAGGTAGAGGGGTCAGCATGGGCAAAGGGCCTGATGTGGAAAAGAGCTTGGCAGAAAAGAGTTTCTTACAGCCCAAAGACAAGTTCAGCAAACTCAAGGCAAATAGTTTATGGTCATTTAAGTTTCGAGAGTGTTTCAACGTGGACATTAGGGATATTTAATTTATAATCAGGAAACTACATTATGTGCACGGGTATAATCCATAGAAAATAACTTGGTGAGTTGGTCTGGTGCAAAAAGCAAAGCAACTTTTTTAAAAATTGAAATTAAAAATAGTCTGGGTGCAGTGGCTCACACCTGTAATCCCAGCACTTTGGAAGGCCAAAGCGAGTGGATCACTTGAGGCCAGGAGTTCAAGACCAGCCTGGCCAACATGGGGAAACCCCGTCTCTACTGAAAATACAAAATTAGCCACACCTGGTGGCACACGCCTGTAATCCCAGCTACTTGGGAAGCTGAGGCAGGAGAATCGCAGGCAGGAGAATCACTGGAACTCAGGAGGTGGAGGTTGCAGTGGGCCGAGATCATGCCCCTGCACCCTAGCCTGCATGACAGAAAAAAAAACACCTTTATTCAACTATTGAAATTGAGAAGTATTCCATAACTCCAGGAAAGACCCGTCAGACAATCCAGCAGCAGCTAGAAAAGAGTGAATTATAAGCTTCAAATAAATAGTTTTCATCCCAATATAGGTACCTATTTGTGCTAAGTAAAGACTAGCACAGATTTGAGTGGGCTTCTTCAGAACAATTCTTCTGGGTGTTTACTGTCTATCCTGGGCATTACAGAAGATCTCAAACTAAACCATACTTTTGAAAGCAGCGACACACTGCATCCTTAACAATGGTGGCCTGGTTGAAAACAGTAATGAAATTGTCATCATCATAAAGCCTTTTATCTGAACCTGACTCTGCAGTTTACAAAGCACTATCATACAGACTAACCAGTTTAATCCTCTCAAAAACCCTTGCAGGTAGACAGGGCAAGGACTCTTAATCTCCTCCTTTATAGAAGAGAAAACTAAGCATCTGGTAGTAACTACCCAGGGTCACAGAAATTAATGACGGGTACCCAGGTTTGTCCCCCGTACGATACTGAGCATCATTGCTTTTACATGCTGGTAGTAAAGGCAGCAGGAGTGGAAAGAGTGCTGAACTTAGTTCCAGTCCGTGGTGTGGAGAGCTGGCCTATACTGGCTCATGACAGCAGATTATTAAATTTTCAGAAATTTTGCCTGCTGTTTGTTAAATACTCATTATTAAAAATTAAATGATATAGGCTGGGTGCAGTGTCTCATGCCTATATTCCCAGCACTTTGGGAGGCTGAGGTGGGTGGATCACCTGAGATCAGGAGTTTGAGATCAGCCTGGCCAACATGGTGAAACCCCGTCTCTACTAAAAATACAAAAATTAGCCAGGTGTGGTGTCGGGAGCCTGTAATCCTAGCTACTTGGGAGGCTGAGGCAGGAGAATTGCTTGAACCCAGGAGGCAGAGGTTGCAGTGAGCTGAGATTGCGCCATTGCACTCCAGCCTGGGTGACAAGGTGAGACTCCATCTCAAAAATCAATCAATAAATAAATATAAAAATAGAAATAAAAATTAAGTTAGATAAACTTCCAATGAAATAAATTTTAAACAAAGGTAGTATGTGATAAAAACATCACTTCCAAATTATGTTAATACATTTTAATATTGTCTTTGTTCTTTAGGCAATTTACATGCATTGTGTCTGCATGGTGGAAATTCCCTATATGTAATTGTACATCTCTTCCCAATACCACATTTAGTGAGTTTTCTTTGGTAGCTTGATCAGCGGACACCACAGATGAGGGCTTCACTTATTGCTTTGCTGGTTGTGGGCTAGACCAGGGTTGTCCAATCTTTTGCTTCCCTCGGCCACATTGGCAGAAGAAAAATAGTCTTGGGCCACACATAAAATACGCTAACACTAATGATAGCTGATGAGCTAATACAAAACAAAACGAAACAAAATCACACACACACACAAAATCTCACATTTTAAGAAAGTTTACGAATTTGTGTTGGGCTGCATTCAAAGCCATCCTGGGCTGTATGCGGCCCACAGGCCCAGGGTTGGACAAGCTTGGTCTAGGCTTAAGTGACAGAGAAAATGTTTTATGCAGATTAAATGTAAAAGACATGTCGTGTCTATAACTGTTACATGGTGAATAGCATAAAAACATTCAATTTAGCAATGAAGTCACATCATTGACTAATAAGCTCTAACATACATTTTTGTTGTTTTATTTTTATCTTAAATGAAAATATTAACCAATAGCCATGTTGGAACTACATTTGGAAAGGTGGTTGTTAAACATTTCCCAGCACACACCTGGATCTGCATCTGCTGTGTCAATTGAACCACTCACTGGTTCTGTGACCTCAGGCAAGTCATTTAAATTATAAGCCTTGGTTTTATCCTCCACAGAATACTTCCTCCTAAAATGTGTTGTGAAAATTAGAATAGATGAAGGCACCCTTGAAAAGATGACTGATGCGGTTGGTTGCCCCACCACTTCCTACTACTTGGCAGAGCCTCCTCGTTGGCAGATCCTTCTCTCACTAGAGCATGTATATGGATGCATGCTCTCTCACCCTCCCTTGTAGCTTAGAGCAGAGCATACCAATCTATGTGCCAGCATACCCTGGTATGTCTCAGATGGGTCATAGATGTGATAAGGTATGGATCCCTTAAGCCCTTGGGACATTCAAGTGAGGCTGAGCTGCTGAAGCCCTGGGATGGTATGACTGGCCACAAGCAACATTACCCAGGTACCCCTCTGTGTCACAAAAACGTTATCTTTGTATTTGTGTCATGGTGTGAAAAAATTGAGAAGCACTGCCTGGGGACATAGTGAGGTAGCCCAATTCTGGATAAAGGAAATTGAGAAGTCTTGAGGGGGTAGAGAGGTTTTCTTCCCTAATAAGAAGAATCACAGGAGAGAAAATGCCTTCCTCAGCCATATGTTGTTATTTCTATATGTGAGCCTGGAATTTCAAGGTTATCTTGCAAAGAACCAAGGCAATGTAGAGAAAAGAATTGATAGCAAGTGGCTGGATCTTTCACATTGTAAAGCCATTGAGCCATCCGTGCAATTGCCCACCTTGGGAATTTATTTTTAAGAGTGATAATAAATGCTCCTCATTGTTTAAACTACTTTGATTTTTGTATTTGGTTATTCATAATTAAAAACACCCAAATACAGTAGAAGAACTGGTACATCCCTGACACCTAATGAGTGCTCAATATGGTTAGTTAATCACCAAATTAGATCCTTTGCCTTTAGAAAAGCTGCCATGGTCAAATGTGTGTTGATCTTATTTTTCGTAAATATTTAAGAAATTTGTTCAGTAACTAGCTTAACTTTTAATATTTATCTTGAGTCTCTTCTAAATATGTTTTTACTGTATAATAAAAGCAATAATTGAAAAATGACATCATTTTAAGCTTGAGAGCAACTAGATACAAAGATGTTGATATGCATTTTCTCTTCTTGAAGGATCTAGACAAACTGGAGCACCATTACATGAAAAAGGTTAAAGAATCAATGTTTTGCAAAATAGAACTGGAATTAATTCATGGGAATTACAGAGAAGATCATATTAGTTCAATATAAAAAGAGGGCCTAGAATGTGCCAAGCTCCATACAATGCCCCTCATGAGTGTTATTTAATTCTCACAACAACTTTGCAAAAAAGAAACTATTTTTTTTTCCATTTTACAAAGGAGGAAGCTAAGGCTGTGAAAAAGAGCTCTTTTGCAAGCCTAGGACCTGATTCCAAAATTCCCACTCTTTCTGTTGCAAATTCTGGCTAAGCTTTCCAGAGATGACTTGCTTTCCCCTTGAGGCCCTTTCAGTGCATTGTGCCATGGAAAACAAAAAGCCCAACAATGACATCTTTACCAAAGATGCCTTGGGGAGATGGGAGAAGAGTTACAATGCACATTACACAGCAAAATCTTTTTTAAGCTCCAAGTAAAATTGGTTTTTTCTTAGAGTTTTGCTTCCAGCAGTCACTTCCTCCATTCTCCTGCTCTCTCCACGTGAGGAAAACTTCTATCCTGCCTTCTCCTAATACACTTTCCTGTTTTTTTTTTCCTGCACATTTCTTAAAAATCCCACATAAGGCAAAAGCCAAGACAATATCCATCAACACCTCCACCCCCACCGCATGTCCATGGAGAGCTTCAAGTCATCCTGCCGCTGGTACAAACACGGCAGAGGCCTCTTTGTAAAGAAGTGGTAGGTAGAATTCAGGTTAGCACCAGAATCTGAAAACTCCAGCTCCTTTGACTGGGACCAGGCTGGTAATATAAATGTTAGATCAGGCTGGGTCTGACACAATGGGGATCAGTAGAGCATACTTGTCACATTTGAAGGCATTCAGAAAAATAATAACCTTAAAACATTCTAAACATGTTGCAATCAAAGAGGATACCCCTTGACCACTGCACGAATTGGAGTTCAAAGATCATCTCTCTTTTGCCTAGGCTGTAGACTAGTTATTTAACCTCTCTCAGACTTGGTTTCCTCTTCTGGAACAGGGTATATCAACTACCTTGCAGAAATAAATGACATCCTGTACACAATGCACCTACCACGTTGCCTGACCCAATAATGTGTACATACATAAGAAAATGTTCATGCCCTTTGCTCACTTTAAAATTTTTTTTTCTTGTATATTTGTTTAAGTTCTTCGTAGACTCTGGAATGGAGCTGGAAGCTGTCATCCTCAGCACACTAACGCAGGAACAGAAAACCAAGCACTGCATGTTCCCACTTATAAGTGAGAGCTGAACGAGCAGAACACATGGACATATGAAGGGGAACAACACACTCTGGGGCCTGTGAGGTGCAGGGAGAGCATCAAGAAGAACAGCTAATGGGTGCTGGGCTTAATACCTGGGTGATGGGTTGATCTGTGCGGCAAACCACCATGGCACACATTTACCTATGTAACAAACCTTGACATCCTGCACATGTACCCCGGAACTTAAAAATAAAAGTTGACAAAAAGAAAACATAACTTACTTTTAAGCACATAGTGTGTGTGTGTGTATATATATATGTATATATGTATATATAAGTATATATGTATATATGTATATATAAGTATATATGTATATATGTATATGTGTATATACATGTATATATATGTATACATATATGTGTGTATATATATATATATATTTAGATGGAGTCTCCCTCTGTCACCAGGCTGGAGTGCAGTGGCACGATTTCGGCTCACTGCAACCTCCACCTCTCGGGTTCAAGCGATTCTCCTGCCTCAGCCTCCCCAGTAGCTGGGATTACAGGCGCCCACCACCACGCCCCGGCTACTTTTTGTATTTTTTGTAGTAGAGACGGGGTTTCACTATGTTGGCCAGGATGGTCTCAATCTCCTGACCTCCACCCGCCTTGGCCTCCCAAAATGTTGGGATTACAGACGTGAGCCACTGCACCTGGCCCATGTATTTTTAATAATACATTGTAAATGATTTGACATTATCCATCCCATATTTTATATGGGCTTAGTTATAGATTCACTCTAGAATTGCTGGTTATAGGGCAAAAATCATTCTTTTCAAGACTTGTTTTAACTTCTAGTCCTTCAGCTTTGTGAATGGAACATGTACGTATGACCTACAAGGGATCAAGGGAAGACAAGGATCCTCTGCTGGAAAGATCTGCCTCCCTTACCATTGCTGGACCCCTTTTGTGTGAGTTTTCTCCTTCATGCCATCTGTACCAAAGGTGACCATTTGGTTCTGAATCCAAACTCTAGATTGTTCTTCTTATAGTGCTTCAAAAGAAAGACTGCAAGCCCTATTTCTATATTTTATATAGTATTTGTAATTTTATGTTATAGAACTTGAGTCACCATGTATTTCATTCATTCAGTAGATGTTGAGCCTCCGGAATATGCCAGGCACAGCTGTAGATGAGGGAGATACTGTGAAGAGAGGCAGCGTTCATGGTGTTTACCCGAGGTCAACAGAAAACAAACAAGGTCAATGCAGAGAGGGATAAGTACTGTAAAGAATGCAGAGCAGAGTATGACATGGGCAGGCAAGGTGACAGAGGGGCTGAAGGAGAGGTTACTTTAGATGCTCAGGGAAATCCTATGAGAGAAGGTGGCACCTGGGCAGACCTGACTGACAGGAAGAAGCCACCTTAGAAGATCTGGGGGAAGAATGTCCCAGGAAAGGGCAGAAGCCCTGGGGTGGAAGCGAGCTGGGCATGTCCATGGAAGACAATTCTGAGATGTCTCGGCATGCTGAGGGAAGGAGAGTATGATATAGGCAGGGTGCCTATAGGCCACAGTAAGGATTTTTAAGAATTTTATTCTAAGTGTGATGGAAAACCACTGGCGGTTTTTATGCAGAGTAATGACACGATCCGATCTATGTATTGCTCTTGCTGCACTTTAGAGAAGAGATTTTAGGAAAGCAAAAGTGGAGGCAGAAAAATCCTTTCATGTCAGTTTAATATATCCTTAAAGAGAAGGTGAAATTTGCTTTCAGCTTTAAATGACACAGAGAGATTACATTCTGGTGGTAGGAATGTGGTCTTTTACAGAGCTTTTGTTACCGGGGTTCATGTTTCCATTTTCTGGAAACTATTAATATATATGGATATTTTTGCCAGTAACTCAAGTAACCTTGCTTGGTAAATTTCATAAAATGTTGCAAGAAGTATCTTGTGGGAAGGCCAGGTTAAGTGTAGGTAAAATAAAAGCTCACTTAAGTGGTTCGATTTCAGGTCAATACTTGTTACCCCCAAAATAGTCTACAAGAACCTCTCAGTACTCTCCCAAACACATCTGAAGTCTGAAGACTAATATTCTATAAATTAATTTATGCCTTGTGCTATCCAGTGAGGATGATAATTAAGGTGGCTTTACCTAAGGCAGTTATTTTCATCTTGATATGAAAGTCTCAAGATCCTTTGCAGAGACAAGTTTTAATACTTGGGAAGCAAGCTGCTTTGACATGTATTGATGAGATAGGGTAAAATAAATTAAGAAAGGATTTAGTAAAGACCTCAATAATGCCAAGGATGAATTCAACTTCTTACATACTGTATTCAGATTTGTTCTTGCTCATGGACCTATGAAACAAATACATACACTTCATATGTTGAGTCTTTGTTGCTATTAGATCTTTTTTTTTTTTTTTTTGAGATGGAATCTTGCTGTTGTCAGCCTGGGCTGGAGTGGAATGGCATGATCTTGGCTCACTGCCACCTCTGCCTCCTGGGTTCCAGCGATTCTCCTGCTTCAGCCTCCAGAGTAGCTGAGATTATAGGCGCCCACCACCACGCCCTGCTAATTTTTTTGTATTTTTAGTAGAGACGTGGTTTCACCGTGTAGGCCATGCTGGCCTCGAACTCCTGACGTCAGGTGATCCACCCGCCTTGGTCTCCCAAAGTAGTGGGATTACAGGCATGAGCCACTGCTCCCAGCCTAGATTTTCTTTATTTCATTTAATGGTCTTAGTCTGGGTTCTCTAGAGGGACAGAACTAATGGAATAGATATACACATAAAGGGGAGTTTATTAAGTATTAACTCACATGATCACAAAGTCTCACAATAGGCCATCTGCAGGCTGAGGAGCAAGGAGAGCCAGTATGAGTTTCAAAACTGAAGAACTTGGAGTCTGATGTTTAAGGGCAGAAAGGATCCAGCATGGGAGAAAGATGTAGACTGGGAAGCTAGTTCAGTCTCTCTTTTCACATTTTTCTCCCTGCTTATATTCTAGCTGTGTTGGCAGCTGATGAGATTGTGCCCACCCAGATTAAGGATGGGTCTGCCTTTCACAGCCCACTGACTCAAATGTTAATCTCCTTTGGCAACACCCTCACAGACACACCCAGGATCAATACTTTGTATCCTTCAATCCAATCAAGTTGACAGTATTAACCATCACAGTCTATATTGGTCATCTTCAAGGTAAACCCAGAATAGCCCTTTGGAAAAGAACTATAACTAATTTTATTTTTAATTTTATAACTAGTACATTTTAGCCACCTAATAAATATTTCATAATAAAAGTTATTATGGCCATTATATTATAGCTGCAGGATCTGTAGACTCTATATGAATGAACCAAAACAGCAACTTTCATGACACTGTCAAATTCAGCCTATGCATTAGATGGTGTAAATCATAAGCCACCAGAAAGAATAATCCATCAAACCAAGTATTGGTTAAGAATCTACTATGTGTCAGCGGGCGTGGTGGCTCATGCTTGTAATCCCAGCACTTTGGGAGGCTGAGGCAGGTGGATCACTTGAAGTAAGGAGTTCGAGACCAGCCTGGCCAACATGGTGAAACCCCATCTCTACTAAAAAAAAAAAAAAATACAAAAATTAGTCGGGTATGGTGATGGGCACCTGTAATCCCAGATACCTGGGAGGCTGACGCAGGAGAATCGCTTGAATCCAGGAGGTGGAGGTTGCAGTGAGCTGAGATCATGCCAGTGCACTCCAGCCTAGGCCACAGAGCAAGACTCCATCTCGAAAGAAAAATAAAAAAGAATCTACTCTGTGTCAAACATCATCAAACGTAGATGGGAATGTAAAAAATAGACAGTAGTCCCCCCTTTATCTGCAGGGATCTGTTCCAAGACCCTCAGTGGATGTTTGAAACTGTGGATAGTACTGAACCCTCTATGAACTATGTTTTTACCTATATATACATACCTATGACAAAGTTTAATTTACAAATTAGGCATAGTAAGAGATTAACAACAATAACATGATAAAGTCAAACATTTATAACAACATCCTGTAATAAACGTTATATGAATTTGGTCTCTCTCTCTCCCTGTCTCTCAAAATATCATATTGTACTGTACTCACCCTTCTCTTGTGATGATGTGAGATGATAAAATGCCTACATGAGAAGATGAAGTGAGGTGAATAACACAGCATTAGGCTACTATTGACCTTCTCATGATGCATTAGAAGGAGGATCATCTGTTTTGGGTGATTCTAGATCATCAAGCTATGACAATGTCAATGGTTGAATATCAGGAGCCGATGATGTCTGGAACTTTCTATTTAATATTTTTGTACCACAGTTGACCATAAGTAACAGAAACTATGGAAAATGAAACTTCAAAGTGGGGGACTACTATATTGCAAACTATTTACCAGGCTCTTATATATATCATATAAATGCTTTTATAAATATCTGTTGCAAATAATTTGTTGTTCAAATGATACTTATGACAATTCTAGGTTCTTAAAAGAAATAATAAAATATATGCATCCAAACTTTTAAAGAACTGTATGTATGTTTCTTGGGGGACATAAAAGTACTGACCTTTGTCCAAGTAGGCAAGATACACAAAACTCTTTTGTGTTGTCAATCACAATAAAAGCATGGAAAGGTTAAAGGGAACAATGTGAGTACTTGAAACATGCGATGCCAAAAGAAAAATCTTGGCTTGATATAAAATACCAGTGACTTATATGGCCTGGTGAGTCATGTGTATCATATCTGGGTTATGTAGCCATAAATATTGGCTTAAAGGCAGTCAGACTATTTAGACTGTCATCACTAAAATCATCATCACATGTCGGTTCTGCCTAAATTGAAAAGCAAAAACTGAAATACAGTAATACATTGAATTGACAACATATAAAATTTCTGCTGTCCTACACTTAAATTCCCAAAGGCAATGTTACAAGAGGGTGTTTAAAAGCCCATGAAGTACTCCTTGTAATTCTATCTCATTTGGATATATCTTTCTTGGTTATTTAATGTTAGTTGGAAGCCTCTAAGAGCAAGAATTTTCACTGACTTCTCAATAAAATTCTCTAGATGATGTAAATCATAACCCACAACATCTGAAAATAGCCAGGTTAATCAAACACCACATATACAAAGAAAACATAGTGTGTCAAACTCTATTAAACATGGCAAGAAATGTAAATAATAGTTACAATTTATTGACCAATTGCCATTTGCTAGAATCTTTATCAATCCTGACAATATCCCTTCAAGGTAGGTGTCATCACCTATATTTTACAGATGAGAAACAAAAGCTCACAGAGGTTAAGCCACGCGTCCAAATTTGTAGAGAAAATGAGTAGATAGAATTTGAACCCTGTCTGATTCCAATTTTTGCTGTTTTTTAAAAAATATATAAAGCAGATAAGATTTTAGAGGTTCTTTAGAGTTGGGAATTTTGCCTATGGGAGAGTTGTAAATTATTATGGCTAGAGGGAAGACTGTGACAAACTTATTTTCCCAAAATGGCCACAACAATATTTCTAGTCTCGTATGCTCTTCTAGAACACGTGTGTTCTAGAACATACGTGTTCTAGAAGAGCAATTCCGTTTCCCCATGATGAGTTGGAATAGATGCCCATTTTCCTTGAAGTTAGGTATGTGTTTGTAACTGCTTTAATAATAGAATAAGGCAGAAGTGGCACTAGGGGACAACTGAGGTTAGGTGTTAGAAGGTGCTAACTAACAGAAGACAGAGAAAATTGCAGACTAAGGATGTTAGAAAATCTTATTCTTCATAAAAGCAATTAGAACACTGGCAAAATGGTCACAACCAGTTTTTTTTTCATAACTCTGAAAATTAGCTATAGGCTTGTGGCAATATCAGAAACATTTATTCAAGAAAAATCATTGAATAATGGTAAGAACAGTGAGCTTTTTGTGTTTTAACTTATCTTATTTCCATACTCCACACATGCCCTCTCCCAGTTCCATGGTATGCTTGAAAATGAACAGCCTGCAATTACAGCAAAAATTAGCAGCCTGACAACCACTGGAAGGTGCGGAATAGGACTGGGGCCCCTTCAAAGCCCCATCTCCAGAGAACTGTCATTGTTTGACCTGCCTGATGGTTCCCTAGAAGACCCCATTCTCAAGGCTGCCTTTATTGACATGACTCAGAGCTTGCTCAGCACAAACAGCCTTTATCCTGGGAATACTTATCAAAAATGTTCAATGATTGTTTAATGTCATGGAAATCTGAGGCAATAGATAACAGCTGAGGCAAACAATAGGCTAACCAAAAAGCTTAAAAATAAAAGTTGGGGAATGATGTGTCCATAGGGGCTTTGAAAAATGCCAGGCACATTCCTGAGAATCTAGAAGGCTATGTGCATGTTTAATGCTGTGTGTATGCCCAGGGATGTGTACATGGTAGTGAAAGACCTGAGAAAGCCCTAAGCTGTCACCTCTGGCTAACTTTAAGGGTCTACACAAGCAGGAAATAAAACCTAAGGCAGAGTTGTATACTGCCTGGCTGAGTGTGTCCCAATATGCACACAGAGCCCCTTTACAAACACCAGGAGACTTATTGTTTCTGGGCATTCAAGGAAGTTTCTGTCCCAGGATTAGCACTACTAAGCTAACTAAGCAGAGACTTCAGTGGTCACACATGACAAAGAATGCAGACTTTATAGAATTTGTTCAGAGAAGTTGCTAAACAAACAACAACAACAAACAGCAGCAACCCCCTGGGAAGAAAGGAGAATCTGATTCCTAGAGTTGCCATGTTATGTCATTTAAAATGTTTATTTTCAACAAAAAGTTACCAGACATGGTGTATTCGGGTTTTCCAGAGAAACAACCAATAGGACGTGTGTGTGTGTGTGTTTAGCCTAAGAAAATGGCTCATGCTATGATGCAGGCTGAGAAATCCCATGATTTCTGCCATCTACAGGAAAGCTGATGCTGTAGCTCCAGTCTGAGTCCAAAGGCCTAATAGTGCTGATGGTGTAAGTCCCAATGTGAAAACAGCAGAAGACCAATGTTCTAGCTCAAGCAGTCAATCAGAGAGAAAACGCTCTCTTCAGCTGTCTTTTTGTTCTACTCAGGGCCTTGACAGATTGGAGGATGCCCACCCATATCAAGAAGGCAATCTGCTTTACTCAGTCTACTGATTCAAATGCTAACCTTATGTAGAAATACCCTCACAGACACACCCAGAAATAATGTTTACTAAATACCTGAGCGTCTCATGATCCAGTAAAGTTGATGCATAAAATTAACCATCACCTATGAAATAAAACCAGAAGGTATAATTCATACATCAGACAAAAAAACAAAAAAAACAAAACAGCAGATAGAAACCATCCTGAGAGAAGATCAGATATTGGACTTACTAGACAAAGGCTTTAAATCAGCTATTTAAAATATGTTCAAAGAATTAAGGAAACTCATGTCTAAAGAACTGAAAGAAAGCATGAGAACAATGATTCACCAAAAAAAGAATATTAATGGAGTTAGCAATTATAAAAAAAGAAACAAATTGAAATCCTGGAGTTGAAAGTATAGTAGCTGAAATTAAAAATTGACTGGAGGGCTCCAGTAGCATATTTGACAATCAGTGAATTTGAAGATAGATCAATTGATATCACCCAGTCTAAGGAACAGAAAGAAAAAAGAGTGAAGATAAACGAATAGAGCCTCAGAGATATATAGGACACCATCAAGTGGACCAGTATATTCTTAATAAAAGTCCCGTTAAAAAATGGGAGAAAAGAGTGAAAGAACGTTTGAAAAAAAGCATAAAACCTCCAAAATTTGATGAAAAACTTTAATGTTTGCAATTAATAAGATTAATGAACTCCAAGTAGAAAAAACTCAGATAGACACAACATAATCAAACTGCCAAAAACCAAAAGCAAAGAGGGAATATTGAAAGCAGCAAGAGAGAAATGACTTACCACATACAGCAATGCGCAGTAAGATTTACCACTGATTTCTTTTCTAAAAATATACAAGCCAGAAGGCAGTGGGATGGCATATTCAAAGTGCTGAAAGAAAAAGACTGTTAACCAAGAGTTCTATATCCAGCAAAACTGTACTTCAAAAATAAAGGAAAAATGAAGGCATTCTCAGATAAAAAGAAACAAAACTTGAGAGAATTTGTTGCTAGAAAGCCATCTTTACAAGAAATACTAAAGGGAATTCTTCAGACTGAAACAAAAGGACACTAGAAAGTAACTTGAGTCCATGTGAAGGAATAAAGAGCCATAAGCACCTGTAAAAGGTAACTGCATAAGTAAATATAAAAGACAGTATAAATGTATTTTTTGCATATAATGCTTTTTATCCTGATTTAAATAACAATTGCATAATGCAATAATTATGAACCAGTGCTGATCAGAATATAATGTATAATGATTTAATTTGTATAATAATAACATTGCAAAGGAGAAAGGATAAATCACTCTCTTCCACACTGTAAAAGCATCCCTATTCCTCCACAGCCGCACCAGCATCTATTGTTTCTTGACTTTTTAATAATCACCATTTTGACTGGTGTGAGATGGTATCTCATTGTGATTTTGATTTGCATTTCTCTAATGGTCAGTGATGCTGAGCTTTTTTTTCACATGTTTGTTGGCCACATAAATGTCTTCTTTTGCGAAGTGTTTGTTCATATCCTTTGCCCACTTTTTGATGGGGTTGTTTGTTCTTTTTCTTGTAAATTTGTTTACATTCCTTGTAGATTCTGGATATTAGACCTTTGCCAGATGGGTAGATTGCAAAATTTTTTTCCCATTCTGTAGGTTGCCTGTTCACTCTGATGATAGTTTCTTTTATTGTGCAAAAGCTCTTCAGTTTAATTAGATCCCATTTGTCGATTTTGGCTTTTGTTGCAGTGAAGCAAAGTTTTTCTATACAATTAAAAGTGAGATGCTATTAATCTGAATTAGATGTTATAATTAAGATGTCAATTGTAACTTCTGAGACAATCACTAAGAAAATAACTCAAATAACATATGTAGTAAAGGATATGACAAAGGAATTAAAATAGTATACTAGAAAGTATCTCTTTAATATTAAAGAAGGCAATGATGAAGGAATAGAGAAATAAAAGAGACGTAAGACATGCAGGAACCAAATAGCAAAATGGTTGGCATAAATCCTATCTTTTCAGTAATTACATTAAATAAGGCAGAGATTAGTAGCATGGGTAAAAAACCAACAGAATCAGATTGTATTCTGTTAACAAGAGAGACACCTAAGATTCAAAAACACGAAAAATGTTGAAGGTAAATAGATGGAAAAATGTATACTGTTCAATCAGTAAGGAAATTAGACTTGGGGAGGGTATATTAATATCAGAGAAAATAGACTTTAGGACAAAGATTGTTACTAGAGACAAAGAGGAACATTTTATAATGATAAAAGAGTCAATTCATCAATAGGATATAACAGTTACAAACATATTTGCACTTAACAACAAATCCATAAAATATATGAAGGAAAAACAGACAGAATGCAAGGGAAAAATTAACAGTTCAACAGTAATATTTGGGGACTTCAATACCCCACTTCCAACAATGCATAAAACAACTAGACAGAAGATCATTCAAATAAACATAAATAACACTATAAATTAAACCTAGAAGACTTGAACAAGAAGATAAACTAAGTAGACTCAACATATATTTATAGAACACTCTACCAAACAACAGCAAAATAGACATTCTTCTCAAGTGCACATGAAACATTGTCCAGGATAGAACATATGTTAGGCCATAAAGCAAGTCTCAATAAGTTTAAAAGGATCGAAATCATGCAAAGGACGTTCTCTGATCACAATATAATGAAATTAGGAGTCAATAATAGAAGAAAATATAAAAAAAATCTCAAATATGTAGAACTCAAACAACGTACTCTTTTTTTTTTTTTTTTTTTTGAGAAGGAGTCTTGCTCTGTCGCCCAGGCTGGAGCACTGTGGAGTGATCTCAGCTCACTGCAAGCTCTGCCTCCCGGGTTCACACCATTCTCCTGCCTCAGCCTCCCGAGTAGCTGGGACTACAGGTGCCCACCACCACGCCCAGCTAATTTTTTGTATTTTTAGTAGAGATGGGGTTTCACCGTGTTAGCCAGGATGGTCTTGATCTCCTGACCTCGTGATCCGCCCGCCTCAGCCTCCCAAAGTGCTGGGATTACAGGCATGAGCCAACGTGCCCGGCCTCAAACAACATACTCTTTCTTAGTCAATGGTTCAAATAATAAATCACAAGAGAAATTATAAAATACTTTGAGATTATTGAAAACAAAAATACAACATGCTAAAGTTTATGGGATACAGCTCAAGCAGTGCTTAGAAATTTGTAGCTTGAAGTCTATATTAAAAATTAAGAAAAATCTCAAATCAATAACCTCCTTTTCCTCTTAAGACTCTAAAATGAGAAGAGTAAATGAAGCCACAAATAAGCAGAAGGAAGGAAATAATAAAGACTAGAATGGAAATAAGTGACTAGGGAATAGAAGAACAAAGGAGAAAATTTTTTTAAAAAACCTAAAAATGGCTCATCAAAGAGATCAACAAAATTGAAAACCTTTAGCATGACTGGCAAAAAAAAGAGAGAAGACTCAAATTACTAAAATCTGAAATGAAATAGAGGATATTACTAGCAATTTTACAGAAATAAAGAGGATTATAAAGGAATACTATGAACATTTGTATGCCAACAAATTCAATAGTTTAGATGAAATGGGCCAATTTCTAGAAAAGCATAAACTATGGAAACTTATCTAAGGAGAAATATAAAATCTGAATAGATCTAGATCAAGTAAAAATATTGATTTGGCAACCAAAAAACATCCTATAAAGAAAAGCCTAGGAACAAATGGCTTCATGGTTGACTTCTACCAAATATTTAAAGAAGAATTAACACCAGTCATTCACAAACTCTTCCAAAAACTAGAACATTTGGAACACTTTCCAAGTCATTCCATAAGCCAGTATCACTGTGATACCAAAAACAGGCAAATATATCACAAGGAAAGAAAATTACAAATATATATTCCTTATGAATGGAGATGAAAAACCCTAAAAAACACAGCCATGTGCTGCCTAACAATGTTTCTATCAACAGTGGACTGCATATAGGATCGTGGTCTTAGCTGAAAAATTGTTATTGCCTAGTGACCATGTAGCCATCATAATGTTGTAGTACAATGTATTACTCACATGTTTGTGGTGATGCTGGTGTAAACAAACCTATATAGAGCCAGTCATATAAAAGTATACCACACGTACAGTACATAATAATTGATAATGACAATAATTGTTACTGGTTTATGTATTTACTATACTATATGTTGTATCATTATTTTAGAGTGCTCTCCTTCTACTCATAAAAAACAAAAACGACAAAGTTAGCTATGAAACGGCCTCAGGCAGGTCCTTCAGGAAGTATTTCAGAAGAAGGCATTGTTATCATAGGAGATGACAGCTCCGTGCATGTTATTGCCCCTGAAGACCTTCCAGTGGGACAAGAGGTGGAGGCAGAAGACAGTGATATTGATGATCCTGTGTAGGCCCAGGCTAACGTGTGTGTTTGTGTCTTAGTTTTTAACAAAAAAAAAAGTGTAAAAGTAAAAACTAAAAGTATTTAAAAATAGGAAAAAGCTTATAGAAAAAGGATATAAAGAGAAAACATTTTTGTTTGTAGGATGTGTTTGTGTTTTAAGCTAAGCATTATTACAAAATGGTCAAAAGTAAAAAATAATTTTATAATGTAAAAATGTTACAGTAAGCTAAGGTTAATTTATTATTAAAGAAAGAAATATCTTTAAATAAATTTAGTATAGCCTAAGTGTACAGTGTTTGTAGTCTACAGTACTGTATAGTAATGTCCTAGGCCTTCACATTCACTCACCACTCACTCACTGACTCACCTAGAACAACTTCCAGTCCTGCAAACTCCATTCATGACAAGTGCCCTATACAGGTGTACACTTTTTTATCTCTTACTGTATTTTTGCTATACCTTTTCTATGTATATATATGTATAGATACTTACAATTGTGTTACAGCTGCCTACAGTATTCAGTACAGTAACATGTACAGGTTTGAAGCCTATGAACAATGGACTACTTCATATACCCTAGGTGTGCACTAGGCTATGCCATCTAGGTTTGTGTATGTACACTCTATGATGTTCACACAACTAGGAAATCGCTGAATGATGCATTTCTCAGAACATATCCCTGTTGCTGAGTGACACATGACTGTGCTAACAAGCCAAATCCAGCAGCATGCAAAAATGGTTAGAGTCATAATCATTATAGCTGTAATTATTTGGAATTTATCACAGGAATGCAAGTTTGTTTTAACATCTTAAAACCAATCAATGTATGACACCATGTTAATAGATTAAAGGACCAGAATCATAAGGTTTTTATTCATTTGTTTGTTCAGTCATTTGGTCACAAATATTTATTGAATTCCTACCATATGCCAAGGCCAGAAAACAGTCAAGAACAAGACAGATATGGTTATAGCCCAACAGAGTTTACAATTTAATAAAGCGTTTTTCAAACTTTTTTTACTATAACCTAGCCCAAACAAATATGTTTGGTGGTGGTGTGGGAATTGCTTCACTTTACACATACATAATATTTGTATATTTATAGGCTTATAAACATACAAAGTTGAAAATGAAACTACATAGACACCCTTACTACATGGTATATACACTGCTGTTTTATATTATTTCACTGTTTTTAAAACTTTTGGTTATAATTTACAGTTTGATTTTACAACTCACTAACAAGTCACAACCCACAGTTTGAAGAACTCTTCTGTAGAGGAGAAACTGATGAATACATGAGCAATTACAATGTGGTGTGATAAGATGAGAAAGAGCCAAGTGCTAAAAGAGCATTGTGAAATAAACATACAGACTCCTCTGAGATCAGAATAAGGCAAACAGTCACAAAGCATACAATCATTATATAAAGTCCTATGATATAAATATGCATATATGACTATGAATTGAATCAAAGTTAACAGGGAGGACAAAGTTGGTGGTTGTGTCCGGGGATAGATTTCAAGCAGAAACAGCATATTGTACAAAGGATTGGGAAAGAACTTATGAAGTCCCGGAGCAACTTCAAATAACTCAATAATCCCTTGTTATTTTATGTAGGAATGGGAGGTAAAGTAATAAAAAAATTATGGGAGATAGGTGGGTCTTAGTAACCGAGATTCTTGCTTGCCATATCAAGGTTTTAGTGAAGACCGTCAGTAGGTTATTTCAAGAGTAAGCCAGGAAATGATAGGATTAGATAAGCATTTTAGAAAGATTACACTGATGGAAATGTGGAGTTTGGACTGGAAGGCAGCAGTCATAGAGGCATAACATTTTGCACACAGTAGGAATTCATTGCAGAGTATATCAGCATCTAAAAACTTATTAGAAATGACAGGATCAGAAAGCTAGCTGCGTCCATTCCTGCAGCAATAATGACAACCCCAGTGTTATGGACAGATAGAATTTAGGAAAAAGAGGGGAAAGTGTCATGAAGTAATAGAATAGGAGGGGCCCAAGAGGTCGTCTGGAGTAGACTCTTGTCTTTCTATTTAGCACCTGTAGTAGACAGCCTTCTAAGATGGCCACAACCATCCTCATCTCCTGGTATTCACATCTTTGTGTAATTCCCCTCCCCACTGAGTGTGTGCTGGACCTAGTGACTCTTTTCTAACAGATAGAATATTGTGAACTTGATGGTACATTACTTCCAAGATTAGGTTACAAAAGATTGTGGTTTCTGTGTTGCTGAAACTCTCTACCCTCTAGCTTGTTTGCACTGATGAAACAAGCCAGCATGGTGTGAACTGTCCTATGGAGAGGTCCATTTGGCAAGAACTAAGGGTTGCTTCTGGCTAACAGCCAATGAGGAACTGAGGCCCTTGGTGCAACAACATGGGAGAAACGGAAGCCTGCCAACAACCACCTGAATGAGCTTGGAAATGGACCCATCCCCAGTCGAGCTTTGAGATGACTGCAAGCCATGGCCAACACCTTGACTGTAGTTTCATGAGAGCTCTGGAGGCAGAGGAGCAAGCTAATCCACACCCAGATTCCTGACCCATAGAAACTGTGATGTAAGACATGTTTGCTTGGCAATATTATAATATACTGATGCTTGAAAATTTTTTTGCAACACAGTTCTTCCTACCCCCAAAATATATAGGTAAAAATAAGTTTCATCATAATATATTTTAGAAAATTTAACAGCATCCTTTGAAATAGTTAGAAAATTCCTGCAGCATTCGAAACTCAGGTTCTGTAATTCTGAAAACAAAAATGGACTAAAAGATTCTGCTCTCTTTTTTTCCAAAGACATCCAAATACTAGTAAGTTTATTCTAAAATCATTACTTTAAAAATGCTAGTTCTTAACTGAAAATTAGAAAAGTAGAGAGGATGGGCCTATAAATGACCAAAGGTCCAAGAGTCCAGAATTGCAAAAAGGATGTAAACCTCAAAACAACAATAATCCTTCTTTAACTCAGAAAAAAAATAAAAAATTTAAAAAGCAACTTTCTTGTACCATGGTAAACAGAATAATGATCCTGCTCAAATGTTCGCATTCTAATCCCTGGATCCAGTAAATATGTTACCTTATATGGCAAAAGGAACTTTGTACATGTCATTAAGTTAAGGATATTGAGACACGAAGATTATAATGGATTGTCTGAGTGGGCCCAATATAATCACAAGTGTCCTTATAAGAGGAAGGCAGGAGGATCAGAGTCAGAGAAGGAGGCATAATGATGGAAGCAGAGGTCAGAGAAATTTAGGGGTTGTGGGGTAGGTCAGAAGCCAAGGAGTGCAGGAGTCCTCTAGCAGCTGGAAAAAGCAAAGAAGTCGATTCCTCCTTAAAGCCTCAAAGGAACAGGGTGCTGCAGACAGATATTACTGCTTCCGTCCTCTGGAACTGTAAGATAATAAATTTTTGTTGTTTTAAGCCACTAAATTTGTGGTAATTTGTGACAGCAGCAATAGGAAACGAATCCATATACTTTACTTCTCTAGGGTCTTGGTTTGCTGTTTATTGCAATCAGGTGATATTTTCAAATGTAATTAAATAATGTTATTTTTATTCTAGAAAACCAGCTGATCATGAAAATCACTTGAAAAGCTTTCCAAAAATACATTTTCCTGAGCTTCATTCCTAGATATTCTACGTTGAGAATTATTGCTCCAGAGTAAGCACCGATTGAAGGGAGAGCCCACTCTGAAAAGATGGACCATTAAAGCACAAATGGCAACTTTTAGCTCATTTCTGATTAAGGTATAATTTTAATTAGATCTTTATAATCAGATTGATTTTTTTTAAATCTAGGATTTGGACTTCTCCAGCGCTCATGAATTTCCATTTTGAGGACCTTTCTCTGCTCAATAAAGTTGGATGAAAGAAAGGGTCATAGAGGGCAGCTGATTGCAATGGTAAAACTTCCGTGGAACTGTGAGTAGGCACTGACATCACCAGTGCCACACTGAGTAGGGGATTGTATTAGCTTCCTGGAGCAGCTATAACAAAGTACTGCAAACTAGGTGACATAAACAACAAAAATTTGTGTGTCACAGTTCTGGAGGCCTCATTTTAACCTAACTAATTACATTTGCAAAGACCTTATTTCCAAATAAGGTCACATTCTGAGGTGGGAATTAGGGCTTTAACAAATAAATTTTGGGGGGCACAATTTAACCTACAATGTGGATCCAATTTGACCTGGAGACTAAAAGCAAGGCTTGTCAAGGGCATGGGCAGGGTAATAATAATAGCAGTTATCTTTTATTCTTGTAGGGACTGTCCAAGGTAGGTGTTTTTATCCCCACCTGACAGATGAGGAAATGGAAGTTGAGAGGGGCTAAGCGATTTCTCCAAGTTCGCACAATTAAGAAGTGGTAGAGCTGAGTGCACACCCAGGTTTGTCTGGCTCCAAAGCCCAAGCTTTCAACCACTTTGCTCTGCCACCTCCAGGAATAGTCAAAAGAACAGAAGACCTGGTTTCTAGGCCCAGTTCATCCACATAATAAACATTAGACATTCAACAAATCATTTAGGTTCTCTAGGGCTTAATTTTCTCTCCAGTAAAATGAGCCTAATAATAATATATGAGCAAGTACAAGTACTTCATAAACCACAAAGTGCCCTGGCACCGTAAGGAATATTATTAAGAGCAACATCAGCATAAAGCAAAGACAATTAATATACACAGTGGAGAATGACAATATATTTGTGCTTCCCAGGTTTTTAGGAGTTTGTGTCCCTCCACCCTCCTCTCGTCAGTCCACACACCTATCTTCTGATCTTTCCCCCAGTTCAAAAATCCTGCCCTGGGTGGACACATGACTTTTGGGTTACCTTTTAATTTTTTAAAAATTCAGTTTCCTAAGTTAAAACCGTTGTTTTATTGAGACACTTCTTTGGGTTGTTGTGAAAAAGGTACAGCAAATCTTCCCTTTCCTTTGCCAGTTGAAGATCTATTACCGAACTGCGAAAAGCAAACATGCAACTAAACAAAAAACCAATTAGTCCACTTGACAGTTTCAGATAAATCTATTTTTTCTAATATAGCTTTTGTTTACTTTTTTGATAAAGGTAAAAATATATGCTCATTATGGAGGATTAGGAGATACAAAATAAGTATAAAGAAAGTAAAACTTACCATATTCAAGAGAAAGCAACCATTAGCATTTTGGTTATTTATGAAAAATTAGATGATTGTTGAACATTTTCCTTTTTAATTTTATATCATATGAGTATTTTAACATGTCTTTTAGTATCCTTTAAGAGCAAGATTTTAATTGCTATATAATATTCCATATTATAATCCATTTAATCAATTTCTTATAGGACATTCAGATTTTTTCCTTGTTCTTGGTACTCTCAACAGGGCTTTGAAAAATATCCTTTTATTTAAATGTGCACATTTCACACTATTCAGGGAACGGGTACACTAAAAGCCCAGACTTCACCACGATACAATTCATCCATGTAACCAAAAACCACTTGTACTTCTAAATCTTCTGAAATAAAAATAAAAATAAATGTGCACATTTCTAATGATTTACGTAGGGTATGTCCCAAGAAGTAAAATTACTAGGTTGGAGAGCTTTCTCTTTATATTGCTTTATCAATCAAGCAACAGACACCACCACAAGAATTTATTTATTCAAAGTATTGGGCAGCCCACAGGTTTGTCAGGAAAGCTAGAGCCTCAGACTTAGAAAATGGGCAGGAATGCAGGAAGCCCGTGCAGCCAGAGCCCCAGCCAAGTCTTTGCTGCAGATCCAGTTCAGCGAGGACTCCTCTGCCATTGCCACTGAGGCCTAATGAGAGCCTGCCACTGCTGGCACTGGGCCTGGTTATTGGACACTGGACACCATACACCACGCTGGCAGCTCTGCCCTGGCAGCTCCTGGAAACTGGATGTTGCTGCTGCAGCCAGAAAGAGTTCTGTTGTCTTCCAGTTTCTCGGCATGACTAGCAAAAGACACACAATCTTAGATTGTCACATCTGAGTGCCCAGGCCCAGGAGGTGGGAATGAAAGTATCTGGTGTTTGTCCCTCCAGGGACATGAGCCCTGTCTATCTTACCACCAAGACTCACAAGATAGGAAAGCCCACTCACTGTTGGTTTGATAGGCAAAAATAGTGCCTTACTCTTACTTTAATTTGCATGCATTTGTTTGCTAGAAAGGATGAACATTTTGCATAGGCCTATTGGCAATTTGTGATTCTTTTGTAAATTACCTAATCATATATTAGAATGACTTTTCTATTGGAATAGTGAGCTTTCTATTGGGGAATTTATCTTTATCTTTTTGGTAAGAGCTCTTTTAACAGTAAGGCTAGAAACACTTTGACCGATACATATGTTTCATCTTTTCCCCAATTTGACCTTTGACTTCACGTAGGGATTTTTAATTTTGGCCTGCAGAAGTTTACCTATTACAAAATAGGTAAACTTTATGTTTTCTTAGTTTGCTTTTAAACTTAGGCCTTCTCTAGTCTGAAGTTAGATAAATAAACACCTAGATTTTCTGACTAATCTAAATAAATCTAATTTTCTAATCTTCAGGTGAACTGATTAAATGGTCATAAAGCTGCAGAAGGAAGATCTACATCCTAAAATATAGGAGGAAGCCACCACAATTCAGTTGATGCAACACAGGAATGATGTTCTTTTCCCTTCATGGCTCCTGAGGGCATGTCAAGGCCTACTGCAGAAACCGAACATTAGAAGTAGATTGATCAGGCCAGATACCGTGGCTCACGCCTGTAATCCCAGCACTTTGAGAGGCCGAGGCAGGCGGATCACCTGAGGTTAGGAGTTTGAAACCAGCCTGGCCAACACGGCGAAACCCCATCTCTACTAAAAATACAAAAATTTAGTAGGGCGTGGTGGCATGTGCCTGTAGTTCCAGCTACTGGGGAGGCTGAGGCAGGAGAATCGCCTGAACCTGGGTGGCGGAGGTTGCAGTGACCTGAGATTGTACCACTGTACTCCAGCCTGGGCAACAAGAGCAAGACTCCATCTTAAAAAAAAAAAAAAAGAAAAAGAAAAAGAAAAAGAAGAAGTAGATCAATCAGTTGATAATGTACTCTACCATGAGCACATTTTAGTCAGCTTAAGCATTGCAAGAAAGTGAAAAAAGTAAGTGGCCTCTCAGAGTAGTGGGGTTTTTTTTTTTTTTTTGTAAAGGGCTACTACTAGCTGACTATCCTTTTGACAGACAGTTGAGTCACCACAGCAAAAACTCTCTTTACTCTCAGAATATGTGTGGATAACCCTCAGAGTGGCAGGGTAAATGTAGTAAAATATTAAAGAGGACTTGGAGAACATTAATGTTGCTAGAGAAGGAAAGTGATCATTTCTTTTTACTGACATTGAAGAAGTTGTTTCTGAAGCTTCCCCTCACTGTCGGTGTTGGTAGAGTAAGAGGTGGTGGTCTCTTGCTAAGTGTGAAGAACTGGAGGTGGGAAAGTGTGGGACATGCAGCACCTAGCACTCCAGAAGGGCAGCAGAAGCAGTGAAAAATTTGCAGGGAATAGGTGCAGCTTAGGGGTGCTAAAGAAGGGGCACAAGAACTAATACTCGCAGGATTCACTTTAGGAACAGTGCGGCCATAGCTGTTTTAATCGCCTCCTCCTCACCTCATTGACGAGGGAGGGTTTTTTGCTCTAGGATCACGGGAATGCGAAACACCCAACCCCCAACACCAGCCTGATGAGATCAGCAGCAGTATGTTAGTCACATATGCTTACAGCCCGGGAGGACACTGGATGCCATGCAGGGCCGCATATGGGGGTTGCACTTGGGAGCAGAGTGAACAGAGAGGGGCTGTTGGAGGCAAGCTTTCTAAGATCAAGAGGATATGGTGCCTCCCGATTCCCACAGGAGGACGTGATTTGCTTTTTTGAATACTGTGGACTGAACCCCACTACTCAGGGATAAGCAGGAATGGTTCTTGGCCACTTTAACGAAGACTGTTTAGATAGGAGACCTCATCTACAAGAGCAGAGTGAGGAGGGGAACTTGCAGTTAGGCCATTCAAGTACCTCCAGATTTTACAAGATGTCAAGGTAGCACACAATATCGAGTGCCTTGATTTTTGGCCTTGTACCACAATGACACTTAAGGGATTGATTGGTTCATGCTGGGTTCCAGGGGCTATAAGGAGAGAAACTCAGGTCTTGGGCAGAAGTAACTTTCTTCCTCCAGAAATCAGGGATCTCAAAACAAAATGGCAGAAACAAAATAAATGATTAAGACAGGTTTGCGTTCGAAGGATTGCTCTGAGAAGGATCCTGCCAACAGTAGCCATCAAGAGACTGCTTACTGCCCCAGATCTATACCTGGTCAATTGAGTAAATAGAGACACCACCTATCTGCAATTTAACTCACCCTCTATAAAAAGTATTTTTTCAGCCAATGTTGTACATGTTGCACTGCAAGGAAAAGGCAAAGAGAAACTAAATCCCATGAGCCTTGTCTCTAGAGACCCACATAACCTGTCACTTAGGTAATGGGAGTGGAAAGTTACCTTGGTAAGCAGAAAGAGAAACTTGGTAAGCAGCCAGAGAAACTTTTGGGGGCTTCCCAGGGTTGTTTTGTCATAGTGTGGCAAAAGGTGCTGGGGTGGTAACTTCTAAACAGGCCAGCCCTATCTTGGATCTAGGTTTAGCAACATAAAGTACAAGTTCCACGATATTTAATATTTCATCAAGTGTTTGATGAGTACCTTCCAAATACTCAGAATGCTGTGTAAGTTTGCATCAGGACTGATCCCTTCCCTCAAGGAGCTCTCAATCTCCTAGGGAAATAACATAATTTTATATAAAATGGCAATGTGTAAATACATTCCAAGATGAAGAGCATGGAAAAAGAATGTAGTAATAGAAGTCAGTATATTTTCCTTATAATTGTATTGCTTACATTTTATGCTTTAAATAACTTATTGTACAAAACACATTATAGGACAAAACACATTATAGGGCAAAACACTTTCTTGACCTGTAAGCTGAATGTCTTATGTACCCACAAACTAAATAGTGGTTAAAGTTTCTTTCTGCTTTAAAATGTGCCCATTTTAGTACAAGTACTTGCAGATACCAATTAAGGTGTGTGTGGAGGTACACGAGGGAAGTCTCCTCACTCACTCTTCACTGTTTGTCACTGTTTGACAGCCCCTGAGTCTGAAGGTGTACAATCTCTCTAATCCTTCAGCCAACCTTTCTGTGGCCATTCTCCCTGTTTCATCTCAAGTCACTTAGGAGATACCTGGGGGTGACAATTGGAGGAATAAATTAAAGTGTGGTCATTTGGAGAAGTCAGACAAATCCAGAAGGTCTAAGCTATTTGGAGATTTTCCTAATAAACTTTCCTAAGTGGGACATTTCCCACTTTAGCCAAACTTCTATTTAAGCGTACAGTTTGAATCAGGTTATGTTTCTGTCCCTGCTATCCACAGAACTTGGTCACATTAGTGTCAGCCCTGGAGAGTTCTGCCCCAACTCCAGGTCATTCTTGGTCCATAGTCCGGTGGTGGGCAGTCTTGGCTTGTCACAGTTAAAACTGGGGCTTTTAACTCTACAAGTTCAGGCCCTGTCCCTCAGAAATTCTAATTTAGGGATCTGGAGTTTGTCCTATGAAATCCACATGTGTCAAGGTTGAAATGAACAGATACCCATTTAATGTAAAGGGAAAACCTTAAACAATTATAACTGAGTAACAATGTAATCACCTTTCTGTGAACTCATTGTTACTGGAAGTTTTCTAGCAGAGGCTACACTTTTGAACTATCAGTCCTCTTTCTCCATCATAAAACATAACTATACCCTAAGCACCCTTTCTACATTATCTCATTAATCTGCACAAATTTCCTGTAGGGAGAATGTCATTACTATTCTCATTTTACAAATGAGAAAAGTGAGATGCAGAGTGTAAATGATTTGCCTAAGATCAAACAGCCAAGAAAAGATGAAGAAAGGACTACCGCGAAGGTAATTCCTGATCTACTACCCTATGTGTCCTCAATCCTGTAGATATGCCCTGGCCCAAGGAGATGGCAGAGAGCCTAGGCCACTTGTCAGTTTATTCGAGGACCCTTAGATTTGATTGAAGATCAGGGTGGGAAGGGGTGGGGTGGCCAGAGCCAGAGATTACACTGCTGCAGGTTTTCCCGCTAGTCCCACCTGCTTATGTACCTTGAGCCCTTGAGTTCTGCTGGGCAATCTATATAGAAATAACTGCTATTATTTACTGAGAGTTTACCATGTGCCCAGCACTGTGTGAACTGCTTTACTTATAAGAGCTTATTTAGTTGCTGCAACAACCCCATGAAGAGGGAATTAGATCTTCATCTTGTAGATGTGGAAACTGAGGCTGAAAGTCTTGCCAGGGTCATACAGCAAGGCCATGAATCAAATTCAGGTATATGTGTGCTCAAAAGCCTGTGCCCTACAAAGGGATTGTTTTGGAGACAGTGATGTTCTGAAGGGCAGGGAGGACCTACCGAGAGTAGTTGTCCCCCTCGGAGTCTCTCAGTGTAGGCCAGTGAATATCCACTTGGTTAGACTGAGAGTGTACCCTGGGAGCTATTTCATCCCCCCAGATGACAGTTCACTGGGACATAGCGACCCCGAACCGTTATCAGATGTAAGAGACTCCAGGATTTCTGAAATGCAGACACAAGTTATAGTAAGTTTTGTGTGGAGATGGAAAGAATTGTGTGTGTGTGTGTGTGTGTGTGTGTGTGTGTGTGTGTTTTGTGTGTGTGTGTGCATGCCTGTATGTATGACATGTACATACACACATGTAAGTGTATGGTATAGAGAATGTCAGGAGAATGGGGTTCTAGCCCTGTCTGCCACTCTATATTCAAGAAAGTCCAGAGAGGAAGTAGGGCAGATCCAGGGCTTTTTGAGGACACGCTTTCACTCTGCACATGAAACAGGATGCCAGACTCTAAGAGCTTCTAAAAGGCCTTGAAACCAACTCCCCGGCTTCCAACCTCCAGCTCAAGTACTCTTTGGCAGCTGTGAATTTCTCAGGCCTCACTGGTATCACCA